>NC_000001.11:122125344-122173931 GCF_000001405.40 Homo sapiens
AACATTCTCAGAAGTTCTTGGTGATGTTGGCATTCAACTGACAGAGTTGAACCTTCCCTTGTGAGTTCAGGTTGAAACGCTCTTTTCTTTTTTTTTTTTTTTTTTTTTTTTTTTTTTTTTGGAGACGGAGTCTCGCTCTGTCGCCCAGGCTGGAGTGCAGTGGCGGCATCTCGGCTCACTGCAAGCTCCGCCTCCCGGGTTCACGCCATTCTCCTGCCTCAGCCTCCCAAGTAGCTGGGACTACAGGCGCCCGCCACTACGCCCGGCTAATTTTTTGTATTTTTAGTAGAGACGGGGTTTCACCGTTTTAGCCGGGATGGGCTCGATCTCCTGACCTCGGGATCCGCCCGCCTCGGCCTCCCAAAGTGCTGGGATTACAGGCGTGAGCCACGGGGCCCGGCCGAGCATTCTCAGAAAATACTTTGGGATGATTGAGTTCAACTCACAGAGCTGAACATTCCTTTGGGTGGAGCAGTTTTGAAACACACTTTTTGTAGACTCTGCAGGTGGATATTTGGACCTCTCTGAGGATTTCGTTGGAAACGGGATAACGTCGCCTAACTAAACAGAAGCTTTCGCAGAAACATCCTTCTGACGTTGGCATTCAAAGTCCAGAGTTGAGCCTTCCTTTGGTAGTTCACGTTTGAAACACTCTTTTTGGAGGACCTGCAAGTGGATATTGGGAGCACTTTGTGGCCTTCGTTCGAAACGGCCATATCTTCACATAAAATCTAGACAGAAGCCTTCTCAGAAACTTCTCTGTGATGATTGCATGCAATTCACAGAGTTGAACATTCCTTTTGATAGAGCAGTTTTGAAACTCTCTTTTGCTAGCATCTGCAAATGGATAGGTGGAACTCTGTGAAGACTTCTTTGGAAACGGGAATATCCTCACGTAAAAAGTAAACAGAAGCATTCTCAGAAACTCCTTTGTGAGGCTTGTGTTCAACTCCCAGAGTATAACATTGCTTTTCATAGAGCAGTTTTGAAACGTTCTTTTCGTAGAGCCTCCAAGTGGACATTTGGGGCGCTTTCAGGCCTGCGGTGGAAAAGGAAATATCTTCACATAAAAACTAGTGAGAAGCATTGTCAGAAACTTCTTGGTGATGATTGCATTCAACTCACGAAGCTGAGGATTCCTTTGGATGCAGCAGTTTGGAAACACTCTTTCGGTGGAATCTGCAAGCGGATATGTGGACCTCTTTGAACATTTCGATGGAAAAGGGATAATCTTCCCGTAAAAGCTAAACGGAAGCATGCTCAGGAACTTCCTTGTGATGTTTGCATTCAACTCACAGAGTTGTACTTTCCTTTTGATAGAGCAGCTTTGAAACCCCCTCTTTCTAGCATCTGCAAGGGGACATTTGGAGGGCTTCGAGGCCTGGGGTGGAAAAGGAAATATCTTCTCATCAAAGCTACATGGAAGCATTCTCAGAAGCTGCTTTGTGATGATTGCATTCAAGTCACCGAGTTGAACATCCCCTTTGATGGGGCCGTTTGGAAACACATTTCTGGTAGAATCTGAAAGGGGAGATTTGGACCGCTTTGAGGCCTATTTCAGTAGAGGATATAACTGTACATAAAAGCGAGACTGGAGCATTCCCAGGAAACACTTTGTGACGATTGAGTTCAACTCACGGAGCTGAACATTCCTTTGGATGGAGCAGTTTCCAAACACACTTTGTGTAGAATCTGCAAGTGGAGATTCGGACCGCTCTGAGGATTTCGTTGGATACGGGAGAGAACTCACCTACGTAAACAGAGGCATTCTCAGAACCTTCTTCGTGATGCTTGAATTCAATTCACAGTGTTGAACCTTTCTCTGACAGTTCAGGTTTGAAACACTCCTTCTGCAGAATCTGCAAGTGGAGATTTGGACCTCTTTGAGGCCTATCGTAGTAAAGGAAAGAACTTCATCTGAAAACAAGACAGAAGCATTCTCAGAAAATTCTTTGCGATGATTGAGTTTAACTCACAGAGCTGAGCATATCTTTTGATGGCGCATTTTCAAGACACACCTTTTGTAGAATATGCAAGTGGATTTTGGGACTTCTCTGAGAATTTCGTTGGAAACGGGATAAACCTCACATAACTGAAGAGGAACATTCTCAGAAGTTCTTGGTGACGTTGGCATTCAACTGACAGAGTTGAACCTTCCCTTGTGAGTTCAGGTTGAAACGCTCTTTTCGTAGTATCTGCAAGTGGAGGTTTGGAACGCTTTGAGGCCTACGGTAGTAAAGGAAACAGCTTCATGTAAAAACTGGACAGAAGCCTTCTCAGAAAATACTTTGGGATGATTGAGTTCAACTCACAGAGCTGAACCTTCCTTTGGGTGGAGCAGTTTTGAAACACACTTTTTGTAGACTCTGCATGTGGATATTTGGACCTCTCTGAGGATTTCGTTGAAAACGGGATAACGTCACCTAACTAAACAGAAGCTTCCGCAGAAACATCCTTCTGACGTTGGCCTTCAAAGTCCCGAGTTGAGCCTTCCTTTGGTAGTTCACGTTTGAAACACTCTTTTTGGAGGACCTGCAAGTGGATATTTGGAGCACTTTGTGGCCTTCGTTCGAAACGGCTATATCTTCACATAAAATCTAGACAGAAGACTTCTCAGAAACTTCTCTGTGATGATTGCACGCAACTCACAGAGTTGAACATTCCTTTTGATAGAGCAGTTTTGAAACTCTCTAGTTTTGCTGGCATCTGCAAATGGATAGGTGGAACTCTGTGAAAACTTCTTTGGAAACGGGAATATCCTCACGTAAAAAGTAAACAGAAGCATTCTCAGAAACTCCTTTGTGAGGCTTGTGTTCAACTCCCAGAGTATAACATTGCTTTTCATAGAGCAGTTTTGAAACATTCTTTTCGTAGTGCCTCCAAGTGGACATTTGGGTCACTTTGAGGCCTGCGTTGGAAAAGGAAATATCTTCACATAAAAACTAGAGAGAAGCATTGTCAGAAACCTCTTGGTGATGATTGCATTCAACTCACGGAGCTGAGGATTCCTTTTGATGCAGCAGTTTGGAAACACTCTTTCGGTGGAATCTGCAAGCGGATATGTGGACCTCTTTGAACATTTCGATGGAAAAGGGATAATCTTCCCATAAAAGCTAAACGAAAGCATGCTCAGGAACTTCTTTGTGATGTTTGCATTCAACTCGCAGAGTTGTACTTTCCTTTTGATAGAGCAGCTTTGAAACCCTCACTTTCTAGCATCTGCAAGGGGACATTTGGAGGGCTTCGAGGCCTGGGGTGGAAAAGGAAATGTCTTCTCATCAAAGATACATGGAAGCATTCTCAGAAGCTGCTTTGTGATGATTGCTTTCAAGTCACCGAGTTGAACATCCCCTTTGATGGGGCCGTTAGGAAACACACTTTTGGTAGAATCTGAAAGGGGAGATTTCGACCGCTTTGAGGCCTATGGCAGTAGAGGATATAACTGCACATAAAAGCGAGACAGGAGCATTCCCAGGAAACGCTTTGTGACGATTGAGTTCAACTCACAGAACTGAACATTCCTTTGGGTGGAGCAGTTTCCAAACACACTTTGTGTAGAATCTGCAAGTGGAGATTTGGACCGCTCTGAGGATTTCGCTGGATACGGGAGAAAAGTCACCTACGTAAACAGAAGCATTCTCAGAACCTTCTTCGTGATGCTTGCATTCAACTCACAGTGTTGAACCTTTCTCTGACAGTTCAGGTTTGAAACACTCCTTCTGCAGAATCTGCCAGTGGAGATTTGGACCTCTTTGAGGCCTGTCGTAGTAAAGGAAAGAACTTCATCTAAAAACAAGACGGAAGCATTCTCAGAAAATTCTTTGCGATGATTGAGTTTAACTCACAGAGCTGAGCAGGTCTTTTGATGGAGCATTTTCAAAACACACGTTTTGTAGAATATGCAAGTGGATATTGGGACTTCTCTGAGAATTTCGTTGGAAACGGGATAAACCTCACATAACTGAAGAGGACATTCTCAGAAGTTCTTGGTGATGTTGGCATTCAACTGGCAGAGTTGAACCTTCCCTTGTGAGTTCAGGTTGAAACGCTCTTTTCGTAGTATCTGCAAGTGGAGGTTTGGAATGCTTTGAGGCCTACGGTAGTAAAGGAAACAGCTTCATGTAAAAACTGGACAGAAGAATTCTCAGAAAATACTTTGGGATGATTGAGTTCAACTCACAGAGCTGAACATTCCTTTGGGTGGAGCAGTTTTGAAACACACTGTTTGTAGACTCTGCAGGTGGATATTTGGACCTCTCTGAGGATTTCGTTGGAGACGGGATAACGTCACCTAACTAAACAGAAGTTTTCGCAGAAACATCCTTCTGACGTTGGCATTCAAAGTCCAGAGTTGAGCCTTCCTTTGGTAGTTCACGTTTGAAACACTCTTTTTGGAGGACCTGCAAGTGGATATTGGGAGCACTTTGTGGCCTTCGTTCGAAACGGCCATATCTTCACATAAAATCTAGACAGAAGCCTTCTCAGAAACTTCTCTGTGATGATTGCATGCAACTCACAGAGTTAAACATTCCTTTTGATGGAGCAGTTTTGAAACTCTCTTTTGCTAGCATCTGCAAATGTATAGGTGGAACTCTGTGAAGACTTCTTTGGAAACGGGAATATCCTCACGTAAAAAGTAAACAGAAGCATTCTCAGAAACTCCTTTGTGAGGCTTGTGTTCAACTCCCAGAGTATAACATTGCTTTTCATAGAGCAGTTTTGAAACATTCTTTTCGTAGAGCCTCCAAGTGGACATTTGGAGCGCTTTCAGGCCTGCGGTGGAAAAGGAAATATCTTCACATAAAAACTAGAGAGAAGCATTGTCAGAAACTTCTTGGTGATGATTGCATTCAACTCACGGAGCTGAGGATTCCTTTTGATGCAGCAGATTGGAAACACTCTTTCGGTGGAATCTGCAAGCGGATATGTGGACCTCTTTGAACATTTCGATGGAAAAGGGATAATCTTCCCGTAAAAGCTAAACGGAAGCATGCTCAGGAACTTCCTTGTGATGTTTGCATTCAACTCACAGAGTTGTACTTTCCTTTTCATAGAGCAGCTTTGAAACCCCCTCTTTCTAGCATCTGCAAGGGGACATTTGGAGGGCTTCGAGGCCTGGGGTGGAAAAGGAAATATCTTCTCATCAAAGCTACATGGAAGCATTCTCAGAAGCTGCTTTGTGATGATTGCATTCAAGTCACCGAGTTGAACATCCCCTTTGATGGGGCCGTTTGGAAACACACCTTTGGTAGAATCTGAAAGGGGAGATTTGGACCGCTTTGAGGCCTATGGCAGTAGAGGATATAACCGCACATAAAAGCGAGACAGGAGCATTCCCAGGAAACGCTTTGTGACCATTGAGTTCAACTCACAGAGCTGAACATTCCTTTGGGTGGAGCAGTTTCCAAACACACTTTGTGTAGAATCTGCAAGTGGAGATTTGGACCGCTCTGAGGATTTCGTTGGATAAGGGAGAAAAGTCACCTACGTAAACAGAAGCATTCTCAGAACCTTCTTCGTGATGCTTGCATTCAACTCACAGTGTTGAACTTTTCTCTGACAGTTCAGGTTTGAAACACTCCTTCTGCAGAATCTGCAAGTGGAGATTTGGACCTCCTTGAGGCCTATCGTAGTAAAGGAAAGAACTTCATCTGAAAACAAGACGGAAGCATTCTCAGAAAATACTTTGCGATGATTGAGTTTAACTCACAGAGCTGAGCATATCTTTTGATGGCGCAATTTCCAAACACACCTTTTGTGGAATATGCCAGTGGATTTTGGGACTTCTCTGAGAATTTCGTTGGAAACGGGATAAACCTCACATAACTGAAGAGGAACATTCTCAGAACTTCTTTGTGATGTTGACATTCAACTGACAGAGGTGAACCTTCCCTTGTGAGTTCAGGTTGAAACGCTCTTTTCGTAGCATCTGCAAGTGGAGATTTGGAACGCTTTGAGGCCTACGGTAGTAAAGGAAACAGCTTCACGTAAAAACTGGACAGAAGCATTCTCAGGAAATACTTTGGGATGATTGAGTTCAACTCACAGAGCTGAACATTCCTTTGGGTGGAGCAGTTTTGAAACACACTTTTTGTAGACTCTGCAGGTGGATATTTGGACCTCTCTGAGGATTTCGTTGGAAATGGGATAACGTCGCCTAACTAAACAGAGGCTTTCGCGGAAACATCTTTCTGACGTTGGCATTCAAAGTCCACAGTTGAGCCTTCCTTTGGTAGTTCACGTTTGAAACACTCTTTTTGGAGGACCTGCAAGTGGATATTGGAGCACTTTGTGGCCTTCGTTCGAAACGGCTATATCTTCACATAAAATCTAGACAGAAGCCTTCTCAGAAACTTCTCTGTGATGATTGCATGCAACTCACAGAGTTGAACATTCCTTTTGATAGAGCAGTTTTGAAACTCTCTTTTGCTAGCATCTGCAAATGGATAGGTGGAACTCTGTGAAGACTTCTTTGGAAACGGGAATATCCTCACGTAAAAAGTAAACAGAAGCATTCTCAGAAACTCCTTTGTGAGGCTTGTGTTCAACTCCCAGAGTATAACATTGCTTTTCATAGAGCAGTTTTGAAACGTTCTTTTCGTAGAGCCTCCAAGTGGACATTTGGGGCGCTTTCAGGCCTGCGGTGGAAAAGGAAATATCTTCACATAAAAACTAGTGAGAAGCATTGTCAGAAACTTCTTGGTGATGATTGCATTCAACTCACGGAGCTGAGGATTCCTTTTGATGCAGCAGTTTGGAAACACTCTTTCGGTGAAATCTGCAAGCGGATATGTGGACCTCTTTGAACATTTCGATGGAAAAGGGATAATCTTCCCGTAAAAGCTAAACGGAAGCATGCTCAGGAACTTCCTTGTGATGTTTGCATTCAACTCACAGAGTTGTACTTTCCTTTTGATAGAGCAGCTTTGAAACCCCCTCTTTCTAGCATCTGCAAGGGGACATTTGGAGGGCTTCGAGGCCTGGGGTGGAAAAGGAAATATCTTCTCATCAAAGCTACATGGAACATTCTCAGAAGCTGCTTTGTGATGATTGCATTCAAGTCACCGAGTTGAACATTCCCCTTGATGGAGCCGTTTGGAAACACACTTTTGTTAGAATCTGAAAGGGGAGATTTGGACCGCTCTGAGGCACATGACAGTAGAGGATATAACTGCACATAAAAACGAGACAGGAGCATTCCCAGGAAACGCTTTGTGACGATTGAGTTCAACTCACAGAGCTGAACATTCCTTTGGGTGGAGCAGTTTCCAAACACACTTTGTGTAGAATCTTCAAGTGGAGATTTGGACCGCTCTGAGGATTTCATTGGATACGGGAGAAAAGTCACCTACGTAAACAGAAGCATTCTCAGAACCTTCTTCGTGATGCTTGCATTCAACTCACAGTGTTGAACCTTTCTCTGACAGTTCAGGTTTGAAACACTCCTTCTGCAAAATCTGCTAGTGGAGATTTGGACCTCTTTGAGGCCTATCGTAGTAAAGGAAAGAACTTCATCTAAAAACAAGACGGAAGCATTCTCAGAAAATACTTTGCGATGATTGAGTTTAACTCACAGAGCTGAGCATATCTTTTGATGGCGCAATTTCCAAACACACCTTTTGTGGAATATGCCAGTGGATTTTGGGACTTCTCTGAGAATTTCGTTGGAAACGGGATAAACCTCACATAACTGAAGAGGAACATTCTCAGAACTTCTTGGTGATGTTGGCATTCAACTGACAGAGTTGAACCTTCCCTTGTGAGTTCAGGTTGAAACGCTCTTTTCGTAGTATCTGCAAGTGGAGGTTTGGAACGCTTTGAGGCCTACGGTAGTAAAGGGAACAGCTTCATGTAAAAACTGGACAGAAGCATTGTCAGAAAATACTTTGGGATGATTCAGTTCAACTCACAGAGCTGAACATTCCTTTGGGTGGAGCAGTTTTGAAACACACTTTTTGTAGACTCTGCAGGTGGATATTTGGACCTCTCTGAGGATTTCGTTGGAGACGGGATAACGTCACCTAACTAAACAGAAGCTTTCGCAGAAACATCTTTCTGACGTTGGCATTCAAAGTCCACAGTTGAGCCTTCCTTTGGTAGTTCACGTTTGAAACACTCTTTTTGGAGGACCTGCAAGTGGATATTGGAGCACATTGTGGTCTTCGTTCGAAACAGCTATATCTTCACATAAAATCTAGACAGAAGCCTTCTCAGAAACTTCTCTGTGATGATTGCATGCAACTCACAGAGTTGAACATTCCTTTTGATAGAGCAGTTTTGAAACTCTCTTTTGCTAGCATCTGCAAATGGATAGGTGGAACTCTGTGAAGACTTCTTTGGAAACGGGAATATCCTCATGTGAAAAGTAAACAGAAGCATTCTCAGAAACTCCTTTGTGAGGCTTGTGTTCAACTCCCAGAGTATAACATTGCTTTTCATGGAGCAGTTTTGAAACATTCTTTTCGTAGAGCCTCCAAGTGGACATTTGGAGCGCTTTCAGGCCTGTGGTGGATAAGGAAATATCTTCACATAAAAACTAGAGAGACGCATTGTCAGAAACTTCTTGGCGATGATTGCACTCAACTCACGGAGCTGAGGATTCCTTTGGATGCAGCAGTTTGGAAACACTCTTTCGGTGGAATCTGCAAGCGGATATGTGGACCTCTTTGAACATTTCGATGGAAAAGGGACAATCTTCCCGTAAAAGCTAAACGGAAGCATGCTCAGGAACTTCCTTGTGATGTTTGCATTCAACTCACAGAGTTGTACTTTCCTTCTGATAGAGCAGCTTTGAAACCCCCTCTTTCTAGCATCTGCAAGGGGACATTTGGAGGGCTTCGAGGCCGGGGGTGGAAAAGGAAATATCTTCTCATCAAAGCTACATGGAAGCATTCTCAGAAGCTGCTTTGTGATGATTGCTTTCAAGTCACCGAGCTGAACATTCCCTTTGATGGAGCCTTTTGGAAACACACTTTTGGTAGAATCTGAAAGGGGAGATTTGGACCGCTTTGAGGCCTATGGCAGTAGAGGATATAACTGCACATAAAAATGAGACAGTAGCATTCCCAGGAAACGCTTTGTGACGATTGAGTTCAACTCACAGAGCTGAACATTCCTTTGGGTGGAGCAGTTTCCAAACACACTTTGTGTAGAATCTGCAAGTGGAGATTTGGACCGCTCTGAGGATTTCGTTGGATACGGGAGAAAAGTCACCTACGTAAACAGAAGCATTCTCAGAACCTTCTTCGTGATGCTTGCATTCAACTCACAGTGTTGAAACTTTCTCTGACAGTTCAGGTTTGAAACACTCCTTCTGCAGAATCTGCAAGTGGAGATTTGGACCTCTTTGAGGCCTATCGTAGTAAAGGAAAGTACTTCATCTAAAAACAAGGCGGAAGCATTCTCAGAAAATACTTTGCGATGATTGAGTTTAACTCACAGAGCTGAGCATATCTTTTGATGGCGCATTTTCAAAACACACCTTTTGTGGAATATGCAAGTGGATTTTGGGACTTCTCTGAGAATTTCGTTGGAAACGGGATAAACCTCACGTAACTGAAGGGAACATTCTCAGAAGTTCTTGGTGATGTTGGCATTCAACTGGCAGAGTTGAACCTTCCCTTGTGAGTTCAGGTTGAAACGCTCTTTTCGTAGTATCTGGAAGTGGAGGTTTGGAATGCTTTGAGGCCTACGGTAGTAAAGGAAACAGCTTCATGTAAAAACTGGACAGAAGCATTCTCAGAAAATACTTTGGGATGATTGAGTTCAACTCACAGAGCTGAACATTCCTTTGGGTGGAGCAGTTTTGAAACACACTTTTTGTAGACTCTGCAGGTGGATATTTGGACCTCTCTGAGGATTTCGTTGCAGAAGGGATAACGTCACCTAACTAAACAGAAGGTTTCGTAGAAACATCCTTCTGACGTTGGCCTTCAAAGTCCAGAGTTGAGCCTTCCTTTGGTAGTTCACGTTTGAAACACTCTTTTTGGAGGACCTGCAAGTGGATATTTGGAGCACTTTGTGGCCTTCGTTCGAAACGGCTATATCTTCATGTAAAATCTAGACAGAAGCCTTCTCAGAAACTTCTCTGTGATGATTGCATGCAACTCACAGAGTTGAACATTCCCTTTGATGGTGCATTTTTGAAACTCTCTTTTGCTAGCATCTGCAAATGGGTAGGTGGAACTCTTTGAAGACTTCTTTGGAAACGGGAATATCCTCACGTAAAAAGTAAACAGAAGCATTCTCAGAAACTCCTTTGTGAGGCTTGTGTTCAACTCCCAGAGTATAACATTGCTTTTCATAGAGCAGTTTTGAAACATTCTTTTCGTAGAGCCTCCAAGTGGACATTTGGAGCGCTTTCAGGCCTGCGGTGGAAAAGGAAATATCTTCACATAAAAAGTAGAGAGAAGCATTGTCAGAAACTTCTTGGTGATGATTGCATTCAACTCACGGAGCTGAGGATTCCTTTGGATGCAGCAGTTTGGAAACACTCTTTGTGTGGAATCTGCAAGCGGATATGTGGACCTCTTTAAACATTTCGATGGAAAAGGGATAATCTTCCCGTAAAAGCTAAACGGAAGCATGCTCAGGAACTTCCTTGTGATGTTTGCATTCAACTCACAGAGTTGTACTTTCCTTTTGATAGAGCAGCTTTGAAACCCCCTCTTTCTAGCATCTGCAAGGGGACATTTGGAGGGCTTCGAGGCCTGGGGTGGAAAAGGAAATATCTTCTCATCAAAGCTACATGGAAGCATTCTCAGAAGCTGCTTTGTGATGATTGCATTCAAGTCACCGAGTTGAACATCCCCTTTGATGGGGCCGTTTGGAAACACACTTTTGGTAGAATCTGAAAGGGGAGATTTGGACCGCTTTGAGGCCTATGGCAGTAGAGGATATAACTGCACATAAAAGCGAGACAGGGAGCATTCCCAGGTAAACGCTTTGTGACGATTGAGTTCAACTCACAGAGCTGAACATTCCTTTGGGTGAAGCAGTTTCCAAACACACTTTGTGTAGAATCTGCAAGTGGAGATTTGGACCGCTCTGAGGATTTCGTTGGATACGGGAGAAAAGTCACCTACGTAAACAGAAGCATTCTCAGAACCTTCTTCGTGATGCTTGCATTCAACTCACAGTGTTGAACCTTCCTCTGACGGTTCAGGTTTGAAACACTCCTTCTGCAGAATCTGCAAGTGGAGATTTGGACCTCTTTGAGGCCTGTCGTAGTAAAGGAAAGAACTTCATCTAAAAACAAGACAGAAGCATTCTCAGAAAATTCTTTGCGATGATTGAGTTTAACTCACAGAGCTGAGCAGGTCTTTTGATGGAGCATTTTCAAAACACACGTTTTGTAGAATATGCAAGTGGATATTGGGACTTCTCTGAGAATTTCGTTGGAAACGGGATAAACCTCACATAACTGAAGAGGAACATTCTCAGAACTTCTTGGTGATGTTGGCATTCAACTGACAGAGTTGAACCTTCCCTTGTGAGTTCAGGTTGAAACGCTCTTTTCGTAGTATCTGCAAGTGGAGGTTTGGAACGCTTTGAGGCCTACGGTAGTAAAGGAAACAGCTTCATGTAAAAACTGGACAGAAGCATTCTCAGAAAATACTTTGGGATGATTGAGTTCAACTCACAGAGCTGAACATTCCTTTGGGTGGAGCAGTTTTGAAACACACTTTTTGTAGACTCTGCAGGTGGATATTTGGACCTCTCTGAGGATTTCGTTGGAAACGGGATAACGTCGCCTAACTAAACAGAAGCTTTCGCAGAAACATCTTTCTGACGTTGGCATTCAAAGTCCAGAGTTGAGCCTTCCTTTGGTAGTTCACGTTTGAAACACTCTTTTTGGAGGACCTGCAAGTGGATATTTGGAGCACTTTGTGGCCTTCGTTCGAAACGGCTATATCTTCACATAAAATCTAGACAGAAGCCTTCTCAGAAACTTCTCTGTGATGATTGCATGCAACTCACAGAGTTGAACATTCCTTTTGATGGAGCAGTTTTGAAACTCTCTTTTGCTAGCATCTGCAAATGGATAGGTGGAACTCTGTGAAGACTTCTTTGGAAACGGGAATGTCCACACGTAAAAAGTAAACAGAAGCATTCTCAGAAACTCCTTTGTGAGGCTTGTGTTCAACTCCCAGAGTATAACATTGCTTTTCATGGAGCAGTTTTGAAACATTCTTTTCGTAGAGCCTCCAAGTGGACATTTGGAGCCCTTTCAGGCCTGTGGTGGATAAGGAAATATCTTCACATAAAAACTAGAGAGAAGCATTGTCAGAAACTTCTTGGTGATGATTGCATTCAACTCACGGAGCTGAGGATTCCTTTTGATGCAGCAGTTTGGAAACACTCTTTCGGTGGAATCTGCAAGCGGATACGTGGACCTCTTTGAACATTCCGATGGAAAAGGGATAATCTTCCCATAAAAGCTAAACGGAAGCATGCTCAGGAACTTCTTTGTGATGTTTGCATTCAACTCGCAGAGTTGTACTTTCCTTTTGATAGAGCAGCTTTGAAACCCTCTCTTTCTAGCATCTGCAAGGGGACATTTGGAGGGCTTCGAGGCCTGGGGTGGAAAAGGAAATGTCTTCTCATCAAAGATACATGGAAGCATTCTCAGAAGCTGCTTTGTGATGATTGCATTCAAGTCACCGAGTAGAACATCCCCTTTGATGGAGCCGTTTGGAAACACACCTTTGGTAGAATCTGAAAGGGGAGATTTGGACCGCTTTGAGGCCTATGGCAGTAGAGGATATAACTGCACATAAAAGCGAGACAGGAGCATTCCCAGGAAACGCTTTGTGACCATTGAGTTCAACTCACAGAGCTGAACATTCCTTTGGGTGGAGCAGTTTCCAAACACACTTTGTGTAGAATCTGCAAGTGGAGATTTGGACCACTGTGAGGATTTCGCTGGATACGGGAGAAAAGTCACCTACGTAAACAGAAGCATTCTCAGAACCTTCTTCGTGATGCTTGCATTCAACTCACAGTGTTGAACCTTTCTCTGACAGTTCAGGTTTGAAACACTCCTTCTGCAGAATCTGCAAGTGGAGATTTGGACCTCTTTGAGGCCTATCGTAGTAAAGGAAAGAACTTCATCTAAAAACAAGACGGAAGCATTCTCAGAAAATTCTTTGCGATGCTTGAGTTTAACTCACAGAGCTGAGCATATCTTTTGATGGCGCATTTTCCAAACACACCTTTTGTGGAATATGCAAGTGGATTTTGGGACTTCTCTGAGAATTTCGTTGGAAACGGGATAAAACTCCCATAACTGAAGAGGAACATTCTCAGAACTTCTTGGTGATGTTGGCATTCAACTGACAGAGTTGAACCTTCCCTTGTGAGTTCAGGTTGAAACGCTCTTTTCGTAGGATCTGCAAGTGGAGGTTTGGAACGCTTTGAGGCCTACGGTAGTAAAGGAAACAGCTTCATGTAAAAACTGGACAGAAGCATTCTCAGAAAATACTTTGGGACGATTGAGTTCAACTCACAGAGCTGAACATTCCTTTGGGTGGAGCAGTTTGGAAACACACTTTTTGTAGACTCCGCAGGTGGATATTTGGACCTCTCTGAGGATTTCGTTGGAAACGGGATAACGTCACCTAACTAAACAGAAGGTTTCGTAGAAACATCCTTCTGACGTTGGCCTTCAAAGTCCAGAGTTGAGCCTTCCTTTGGTAGTTCACGTTTGAAACACTCTTTTTGGAGGACCTGCAAGTGGATATTTGGAGCACTTTGTGGCCTTCGTTCGAAACGGCTATATCTTCATGTAAAATCTAGACAGAAGCCTTCTCAGAAACTTCTCTGTGATGATTGCATGCAACTCACAGAGTTGAAAATTCCTTTTGATGGAGCAGTTTTGAAACTCTCTTTTGCTAGCATCTGCAAATGTATAGGTGGAACTCTGTGAAGACTTCTTTGGAAACGGGAATATCCTCACGTAAAAAGTAAACAGAAGCATTCTCAGAAACTCCTTTGTGAGGCTTGTGTTCAACTCCCAGAGTATAACATTGCTTTTCATAGGGCAGTTTTGAAACATTCTTTTCGTAGAGCCTCCAAGTGAACATTTGGAGCGCTTTCAGGCCTGCGGTGGAAAAGGAAATATCTTCACATAAAAACTAGAGAGAAGCATTGTCAGAAACTTCTTGGTGATGATTGCATTCAACTCACGGAGCTGAGGATTCCTTTGGATGCAGCAGTTTGGAAACACTCTTTCGGTGGAATCTGCAAGCGGATATGTGGACCTCTTTGAACATTTCGATGGAAAAGGGATAATCTTCCCGTAAAAGCTAAACGGAAGCATGCTCAGGAACTTCTTTGTGATGTTTGCATTCAACTCGCAGAGTTGTACTTTCCTTTTGATAGAACAGCTTTGAAACCCTCTCTTTCTAGCATCTGCAAGGGGACATTTGGAGGGCTTCGAGGCCTGGGGTGGAAAAGGAAATATCTTCTCATCAAAGCTACATGGAAACATTCTCAGAAACTGCTTTGTGATGATTGCATTCAAGTCACCGAGTTGAACATTCCCTTTGATGGAGCCGTTTGGAAACACACTTTTGGTAGAATCTGAAAGGGGAGATTTGGACCGCTTTGAGGCCTATGGCAGTAGAGGATATAACTGCACATAAAAGCGAGACAGGAGCATTCCCAGGAAACGCTTTGTGACCATTGAGTTCAACTCACAGATCTGAACATTCCTTTGGATGGAGCAGTTTCCAAACACACTTTGTGTAGAATCTGCAAGTGGAGATTTGGACCGCTCTGAGGATTTCGTTGGATACGGGAGAAAACTCACCTACGTAAACAGAAGCATTCTCAGAACCTTCTTCGTGATGCTTGCATTCAACTCACAGTGTTGAACCTTTCTCTGACAGTTCAGGTTTGAAACACTCCTTCTGCAGAATCTGCAAGTGGAGATTTGGACGTCTTTGAGGCCTGTCGTAGTAAAGGAAAGAACTTCATCTAAAAACAAGACAGAAGCATTCTCAGAAAATTCTTTGCAATGATTGAGTTTAACTCACAGAGCTGATTAGGTCTTTTGATGGAGCATTTTCAAAACACACGTTTTGTAGAATATGCAAGTGGATATTGGGACTTCTCTGAGAATTTCGTTGGAAACGGGATAAACCTCACATAACTGAAGAGGAACATTCTCAGAACTTCTTTGTGATGTTGACATTCAACTGACAGAGGTGAACCTTCCCTTGTGAGTTCAGGTTGAAACGCTCTTTTCGTAGCATCTGCAAGTGGAGATTTGGAACGCTTTGAGGCCTACGGTAGTAAAGGAAACAGCTTCACGTAAAAACTGGACAGAAGCATTCTCAGAAAATACTTTGGGACGATTGAGTTCAACTCACAGAGCTGAACATTCCTTTGGGTGGAGCAGTTTGGAAACACACTTTTTGTAGACTCCGCAGGTGGATATTTGGACCTCTCTGAGGATTTCGTTGGAAACGGGATAACGTCACCTAACTAAACAGAAGCTTCCGCAGAAACATCCTTCTGACGTTGGCCTTCAAAGTCCCGAGTTGAGCCTTCCTTTGGTAGTTCACGTTTGAAACACTCTTTTTGGAGGACCTGCAAGTGGATATTTGGAGCACTTTGTGGCCTTCGTTCGAAACGGCTATATCTTCACATAAAATCTAGACAGAAGCCTTCTCAGAAACTTCTCTGTGATGATTGCACGCAACTCACAGAGGTGAACATTCCTTTTGATAGAGCAGTTTTGAAACTCTCTAGTTTTGCTGGCATCTGCAAATGGATAGGTGGAACTCTGTGAAGACTTCTTTGGAAACGGGAATATCCCCACGTAAAAAGTAAACAGAAGCATTCTCAGAAACTCCTTTGTGAGGCTTGTGTTCAACTCCCAGAGTATAACATTGCTCTTCATAGAGCAGTTTTGAAACATTCTTTTCGTAGAGCCTCCAAGTGGACATTTGGAGCGCTTTCAGGCCTGCGGTGGAAAAGGAAATATCTTCACATAAAAACTAGAGAGAAGCATTGTCAGAAACCTCTTGGTGATGATTGCATTCAACTCACGGAGCTGAGGATTCCTTTTGATGCATCTGTTTGGAAACACTCTTTCGGTGGAATCTGCAAGCGGATATGTGGACCTCTTTGAACATTTCGATGGAAAAGGGATAATCTTCCCGTAAAAGCTAAACGGAAGCATGCTCAGGAACTTCCTTGTGATGTTTGCATTCAACTCACAGAGTTGTACTTTCCTTTTGATAGAGCAGCTTTGAAACCCCCTCTTTCTAGCATCTGCAAGGGGACATTTGGAGGGCTTCGAGGCCTGGGGTGGAAAAGGAAATATCTTCTCATCAAAGCTACATGGAAGCATTCTCAGAAGCTGCTTTGTGATGATTGCTTTCAAGTCACCGAGCTGAACATTCCCTTTGATGGAGCCGTTTGGAAACACACTTTTGGTAGAATCTGAAAGGGGAGATTTGGACAGCTTTGAGGCCTATGGCAGTAGAGGATATAACTGCACATAAAAATGAGACTGTAGCATTCCCAGGTAAACACTTTGTGACGATTGAGTTCACCTCACGGAGCTGAACATTCCTTTGGATGGAGCAGTTTCCAAACACACTTTGTGTAGAATCTGCAAGTGGAGATTCGGACCGCTCTGAGGATTTCATTGGATACGGGAGAGAACTCACCTACGTAAACGGAAGCATTCTCAGAACTTTCTTCGCGATGCTTGCATTCAACTCACAGTGTTGAACCTTTCTCTGACAGTTCAGGTTTGAAACACTCCTTCTGCAGAATCTGCAAGTGGAGATTTGGACCTCTTTGAGGCCTGTCGTAGTAAAGGAAAGAACTTCATCTAAAAACAAGACAGAAGCATTCTCAGAAAATTCTTTGTGATGATTGAGTTTAACACACAGAGCTGAGCATATCTTTTGATGGAGCATTTTCAAAACACACTTTTTGTAGAATATGCAAGTGGATATTTGGACTTCCCTGAGAATTTCGTGGGAAACGGGATAAACCTCACATAACTGAAGAGAAACATTCTCAGAACTTCTTTGTGATGTTGGCATTCAACTGACAGAGTTGAACCTTCCCTTGTGAGTTCAGGTTGAAACTCTCTTTTCGTAGTATCTGCAAGTGGAGGTTTGGAACGCTTTCAGGCCTACGGTAGTAAAGGAAACAGCTTCATGTAAAAACTGGACGGAAGCATTCTCAGAAAATACTTCGGGACGATTGAGTACAACTCACAGAGCTGAACATTCCTTTGGGTGGAGCAGTTTGGAAACACACTTTTTGTAGACTCCGCAGGTGGATATTTGGACCTCTCTGAGGATTTCGTTGGAAACGGGATAACGTCACCTAACTAAACAGAAGGTTTCGTAGAAACATCCTTCTGACGTTGGCCTTCAAAGTCCAGAGTTGAGCCTTCCTTTGGTAGTTCACGTTTGAAACACTCTTTTTGGAGGACCTGCAAGTGGATATTTGGAGCACTTTGTGGCCTTCGTTCGAAACGGCTATATCTTCATGTAAAATCTAGACAGAAGCCTTCTCAGAAACTTCTCTGTGATGATTGCATGCAAGTCACAGAGTTGAACATTCCTTTTGATGGAGCAGTTTTGAAACTCTCTTTTGCTAACATCTGCAAATGGATAGGTGGAACTCTGTGAAGACTTCTTTGGAAACGGGAATATCCTCACGTAAAAAGTAAACAGAAGCATTCTCAGAAACTCCTTTGTGAGGCTTGTGTTCAACTCCCAGAGTATAACATTGCTTTTCATAGAGCAGTTTTGAAACATTCTTTTAGTAGAGCCTCCAAGTGGACATTTGGAGCGCTTTCAGGCCTGCGGTGGAAAAGGAAATATCTTCACATAAAAGCTAGAGAGAAAGCATTGTCAGAAACTTCTTGGTGATGATTGCATTCAACTCACGGAGCTGAGGATTCCTTTGGATGCAGCAGTTTGGAAACACTCTTTGTGTGGAATCTGCAAGCGGATATGTGGACCTCTTTGAACATTTCGATGGAAAAGGGATAATCTTCCCGTAAAAGCTAAACGGAAGCATGCTCAGGAACTTCTTTGTGAAGTTTGCATTCAACTCACAGAGTTGTACTTTCCTTTTGATAGAGCAGCTTTGAAACCCTCTCTTTCTAGCATCTGCAAGGGGACATTTGGAGGGCTTCGAGGCCTGGGGTGGAAAAGGAAATATCTTCTCATCAAAGCTACATGGAAGCATTCTCAGAAACTGGTTTGTGATGATTGCATTCAAGTCACCGAGTTGAACATTCCCTTTGATGGAGCCGTTTGGAAACACACTTTTGGTAGAATCTGAAAGGGGAGATTTGGACCGCTTTGAGGCCTATGGCAGTAGAGGATATAACTGCACATAAAAAGGAGACAGGAGCATTCCCAGAAACACTTTGTGACGATTGAGTTCAATTCACAGAGCTGAACATTCCTTTGGATGGAGCAGTTTCAAAACACACTTTTTGTAGAATCTGCAAGTGGAGATTTGGACCGCTCTGAGGATTTCATTGGATACGGGAGAAAACTCACCTACGTAAACAGAAGCATTCTCAGAACCTTCTTCGTGATGCTTGCATTCAACTCACAGTGTTGAACCTTTCTCTGATAGTTCAGGTTTGAAACACTCCTTCTGCAGAATCTGCAAGTGGAGATTTGGACCTCTTTGAGGCCTATCGTAGTAAAGGAAAGAACTTCATCTAAAAACAAGACAGAAGCATTCTCAGAAAATTCTTTGCGATGATTGAGTTTAACTCACAGAGCTGAGCATATCTTTTGATGGCGCATTTTCCAAACACACCTTTTGTAGAATATGCAAGTGGATTTTGGGACTTCTCTGAGAATTTCGTGGGAAACGGGATAAACCTCACATAACTGAAGAGGAACATTCTCAGAAGTTCTTGGTGATGTTGGCATTCAACTGACAGAGTTGAACCTTCCCTTGTGAGTTCAGGTTGAAACGCTCTTTTCGTAGTATATGCAAGTGGAGGTTTGGAACGTTTGAGGCCTATGGTAGTAAAGGAAAGAGCTTCACGTAAAAACTGGGCAGAAGCATTCTCAGAAAATACTTTGGGATGATTGAGTTCAACTCACAGAGCTGAACATTCCTTTGGGTGGAGCAGTTTTGAAACACACTTTTTGTAGACTCTGCAGGTGGATATTTGGACCTCTCTGAGGATTTCGTTGCAGACGGGATAACGTCACCTAACTAAACAGAAGCTTTCGCAGAAACATCCTTCTGACGTTGGCATTCAAAGTCCAGAGTTGAGCCTTCCTTTGGTAGTTCACGTTTGAAACACTCTTTTTGGAGGACCTGCAAGTGGATATTGGGAGCACTTTGTGGCCTTCGTTCGAAACGGCCATATCTTCACATAAAATCTAGACAGAAGCCTTCTCAGAAACTTCTCTGTGATGATTGCATGCAACTCACAGAGTTGAACATTCCTTTTGATAGAGCAGTTTTGAAACTCTCTTTTGCTAGCATCTGCAAATGGATAGGTGGAACTCTGTGAAGACTTCTTTGGAAACGGGAATATCCTCACGTAAAAAGTAAACAGAAGCATTCTCAGAAACTCCTTTGTGAGGCTTGTGTTCAACTCCCAGAGTATAACATTGCTTTTCATAGAGCAGTTTTGAAACATTCTTTTCGTAGAGCCTCCAAGTGGACATTTGGAGCGCTTTCAGGCCTGCGGTGGAAAAGGAAATATCTTCACATAAAAACTAGAGAGAAGCATTCTCAGAATCTTCTTGGTGATGATTGCATTCAACTCACGGAGCTGAGGATTCCTTTTGGTGCAGCAGT
The DNA here is from genome assembly GCF_000001405.40 of Homo sapiens. NCBI lineage: Eukaryota > Metazoa > Chordata > Mammalia > Primates > Hominidae > Homo > Homo sapiens. Next base: position 122,145,163 of record NC_000001.11, read on the forward strand.
ATGGAAACACTCTTTCGGTGGAAGCTGCAAGCGGATATGTGGACCTCTTTGAACATTCCGATGGAAAAGGGATAATCTTCCCGTAAAAGCTAAACGGAAGCATGCTCAGGAACTTCCTTGTGATGTTTGCATTCAACTCACAGAGTTGTACTTTCCTTTTGATAGAGCAGCTTTGAAACCCTCTCTTTCTAGCATCTGCAAGGGGACATTTGGAGGGCTTTGAGGCCTGGGGTGGAAAAGGAAATATCTTGTCATCAAAGCTACATGGAAGCATTCTCAGAAGCTGCTTTGTGATGATTGCATTCAAGTCACCGAGTTGAACATCCCCTTTGATGGGGCCGTTTGGAAACACACTTTTGGTAGAATCTGAAAGGGGAGATTTGGACCGCTTTGAGGCCTATGGCAGTAGAGGATATAACTGCACATAAAAGCGAGACAGGAGCATTCCCAGGAAACGCTTTGTGACGATTGAGTTCAACTCACAGAGCTGAACATTCCTTTGGGTGGAGCAGTTTCCAAACACACTTTGTGTAGAATCTTCAAGTGGAGATTTGGACCGCTCTGAGGATTTCGTTGGATAGGGAGAAAAGTCACCTACGTAAACAGAAGCATTCTCAGAACCTTCTTCGTGATGCTTGCATTCAACTCACAGTGTTGAACCTTTCTCTGACAGTTCAGGTTTGAAACACTCCTTCTGCAGAATCTGCAAGTGGAGATTTGGACCTCCTTGAGGCCTATCGTAGTAAAGGAAAGAACTTCATCTAAAAACAAGACGGAAGCATTCTCAGAAAATTCTTTGTGATGATTGAGTTTAACACACAGAGCTGAGCATATCTTTTGATGGAGCATTTTGAAAACACACTTTTTGTAGAATATCCAAGTGGATATTTGGACTTCTCTGAGAATTTCGTGGGAAACGGGATAAACCTCACATAACTGAAGAGAAACATTCTCAGAAGTTCTTGGTGATGTTGGCATTCAACTGACAGAGTTGAACCTTCCCTTGTGAGTTCAGGTTGAAACGCTCTTTTCGTAGTATCTGCAAGTGGAGGTTTGGAACGCTTTGAGGCCTACGGTAGTAAAGGAAACAGCTTCATGTAAAAACTGGACAGAAGCCTTCTCAGAAAATACTTTGGGATGATTGAGTTCAACTCACAGAGCTGAACCTTCCTTTGGGTGGAGCAGTTTTGAAACACACTTTTTGTAGACTCTGCAGGTGGATATTTGGACCTCTCTGAGGATTTCGTTGGAAACGGGATAACGTCACCTAACTAAACAGAAGCTTTCGCAGAAACATCCTTCTGACGTTGGCCTTCAAAGTCCAGAGTTGAGCCTTCCTTTGGTAGTTCACGTTTGAAACACTCTTTTTGGAGGACCTGCAAGTGGATATTTGGAGCACTTTGTGGCCTTCGTTCGAAACGGCTATATCTTCACGTAAAATCTAGACAGAAGCCTTCTCAGAAACTTCTCTGTGATGATTGCATGCAACTCACAGAGTTGAACATTCCTTTTGATGGAGCAGTTTTGAAACTCTCTTTTGCTAGCATCTGCAAATGGATAGGTGGAACTCTGTGAAGTCTTCTTTGGAAACGGGAATATCCTCAAGTAAAAAGTAAACAGAAGCATTCTCAGAAACTCCTTTCTGAGGCTTGTGTTCAACTCCCAGAGTATAACATTGCTTTTCATAGAGCAGTTTTGAAACATTCTTTTCGTAGAGCCTCCAAGTGGACATTTGGAGCGCTTTCAGGCCTGCGGTGGAAAAGGAAATATCTTCACATAAAAGCTAGAGGGAAGCATTGTCAGAAACTTCTTGGTGATGATTGCATTCAACTCACGGAGCTGAGGATTCCTTTTGATGCAGCAGTTTGGAAACACTCTTTCGGTGGAATCTGCAAGCGGATATGTGGACCTCTTTGAACATTTCGATGGAAAAGGGATAATCTTCCCGTAAAAGCTAAACGGAAGCATGCTCAGGAACTTCCTTGTGATGTTTGCATTCAACTCACAGAGTTGTACTTTCCTTTTGATAGAGCAGCTTTGAAACCCCCTCTTTCTAGCATCTGCAAGGGGACATTTGGAGGGCTTCGAGGCCTGGGGTGGAAAAGGAAATATCTTCTCATCAAAGCTACATGGAAGCATTCTCAGAAGCTGCTTTGTGAAGATTGCATTCAAGTCACCGAGTTGAACATCCCCTTTGATGGGGCCGTTTGGAAACACACTTTTGGTAGAATCTGAAAGGGGAGATTTGGACCGCTTTGAGGCCTATGGCAGCAGAGGATTTAACTGCACATAAAAGCGAGACAGGAGCATTCCCAGGAAACGCTTTGTGACGATTGAGTTCAACTCACAGAGCTGAACATTCCTTTGGGTGGAGCAGTTTCCAAACACACCTTGTGTAGAATCTGCAAGTGGAGATTTGGACCGCTCTGAGGGTTTCGTTGGATACGGGAGAAAAGTCACATACGTAAACAGAAGCATTGTCAGAACCTTCTTCGTGATGCTTGCATTCAACTCACAGTGTTGAACCTTTCTCTGACAGTTCAGGTTTGAAACACTCCTTCTGCAGAATCTGCAAGTGGAGATTTGGACCTCTTTGAGGCCCATCGTAGTAAAGGAATGAACTTCATCTAAAAACAAGACGGAAGCATTCTCAGAAAATTCTTTGCAATGATTGAGTTTAACTCACAGAGCTGAGCATATCTTTTGATGGCACAATTTCCAAACACACCTTTTGTGGAATATGCAAGTGGATTTTGGGACTTCTCTGAGAATTTCGTTGGAAACGGGATAAACCTCACATAACTGAAGAGGAACATTCTCAGAAGTTCTTGGTGATGTTGGCATTCAACTGGCAGAGTTGAACCTTCCCTTGTGAGTTCAGGTTGAAACGCTCTTTTCGTAGTATCTGCAAGTGGAGGTTTGGAACGCTTTGAGGCCTACGGTAGTAAAGGAAACAGCTTCATGTAAAAACTGGACAGAAGCCTTCTCAGAAAATACTTTGGGATGATTGAGTTCAACTCACAGAGCTGAACATTCCTTTGGGTGGAGCAGTTTTGAAACACACTTTTTGTAGACTCTGCAGGTGGATATTTGGACCTCTCTGAGGATTTCGTTGGAAACGGGATAACGTCACCTAACTAAACAGAAGCTTTCGCAGAAACATCCTTCTGACGTTGGCATTCAAAGTCCAGATTTGAGCCTTCCTTTGGTAGTTCACCTTTGAAACACTCTTTTTGGAGGACCTGCAAGTGGATATTGGGAGCGCTTTGTGGCCTTCGTTCGAAACGGCCATATCTTCACATAAAATCTAGACAGAAGCCTTCTCAGAAACTTCTCTGTGATGATTGCATGCAACTCACAGAGTTGAACATTCCTTTTGATGGAGCAGTTTTGAAACTCTCTTTTGCTAGCATCTGCAAATGTATAGGTGGAACTCTGTGAAGACTTCTTTGGAAACGGGAATATCCTCACGTAAAAAGTAAACAGAAGCATTCTCAGAAACTCCTTTGTGAGGCTTGTGTTCAACTCCCAGAGTATAACATTGCTTTTCATAGAGCAGTTTTGAAACATTCTTTTCGTAGAGCCTCCAAGTGGACATTTGGAGCGCTTTCAGGCCTGCGGTGGAAAAGGAAATATCTTCACATAAAAACTAGAGAGAAGCATTGTCAGAAACTTCTTGGTGATGATTGCATTCAACTCACGGAGCTGAGGATTCCTTTGGATGCAGCAGTTTGGAAACACTCTTTCGGTGGAATCTGCAAGCGGATATGTGGACCTCTTTGAACATTTCGATGGAAAAGGGATAATCTTCCCGTAAAAGCTAAACGGAAGCATGCTCAGGAACTTCCTTGTGATGTTTGCATTCAACTCACAGAGTTGTACTTTCCTTTTGATAGAGCAGCTTTGAAATCCCCTCTTTCTAGCATCTGCAAGGGGACATTTGGAGGGCTTCGAGGCCTGGGGTGGAAAAGGAAATATCTTCTCATCAAACCTACATGGAAGCATTCTCAGAAGCTGCTTTGTGATGATTGCATTCAAGTCACCGAGTTGAACATCCCCTTTGATGGGGCCGTTTGGAAACACACTTTTGGTAGAATCTGAAAGGGGAGATTTGGACCGCTTTGAGGCCTATGGCAGTAGAGGATATAACTGCACATAAAATCGAGACAGGAGCATTCCCAGGAAACGCTTTGTGACGATTGAGTTCAACTCACAGAGCTGAACATTCCTTTGGGTGGAGCAGTTTCCAAACACACTTTGTGTAGAATCTGCAAGTGGAGATTTGGACCGCTCTGAGGATTTCGTTGGATACGGGAGAAAAGTCACCTACGTAAACAGAAGCATTCTCAGAACCTTCTTCGTGATGCTTGCATTCAACTCACAGTGTTGAACCTTTCTCTGACAGTTCAGGTTTGAAACACTCCTTCTGCAGAATCTGCAAGTGGACATTTGGACCTCCTTCAGGCCTATCGTAGTAAAGGAAAGAACTTCATCTAAAAACAAGACGGAAGCATTCTCAGAAAATACTTTGCGATGATTGAGTTTAACTCACAGAGCTGAGCATATCTTTTGATGGCGCATTTTCAAAACACACCTTTTGTGGAATATGCAAGTGGATTTTGGGACTTCTCTGAGAATTTCGTTGGAAACGGGATAAACCTCACGTAACTGAAGGGAACATTCTCAGAAGTTCTTGGTGATGTTGGCATTCAACTGGCAGAGTTGAACCTTCCCTTGTGAGTTCAGGTTGAAACGCTCTTTTCGTAGTATCTGGAAGTGGAGGTTTGGAATGCTTTGAGGCCTACGGTAGTAAAGGAAACAGCTTCATGTAAAAACTGGACAGAAGCATTCTCAGAAAATACTTTGGGATGATTGAGTTCAACTCACAGAGCTGAACATTCCTTTGGGTGGAGCAGTTTTGAAACACACTTTTTGTAGACTCTGCAGGTGGATATTTGGAACTCTCTGAGGATTTCGTTGGAAACGGGATAACGTCACCTAACTAAACAGAAGTTTTCGCAGAAACCTCCTTCTGACGTTGGCCTTCAAAGTCCAGAGTTGAGCCTTCCTTTGGTAGTTCACGTTTGAAACACTCTTTTTGGAGGACCTGCAAGTGGATATTTGGAGCACTTTGTGGCCTTCGTTCGAAACGGCCATATCTTCACATAAAATCTAGACAGAAGCCTTCTCAGAAACTTCTCTGTGATGATTGCATGCAACTCACAGAGTTGAACATTCCTTTTGATGGAGCAGTTTTGAAACTCTCTTTTGCTAGCATCTGCAAATGGATAGGTGGAACTCTGTGAAGACTTCTTTGGAAACGGGAATATCCTCACGTAAAAAGTAAACAGAAGCATTCTCAGAAACTCCTTTGTGAGGCTTGTGTTCAACTGCCAGAGTATAACATTGCTTTTCATAGAGCAGTTTTGAAACATTCTTTTCGTAGAGCCTCCAAGTGGACATTTGGAGCGCTTTCAGGCCTGCGGTGGAAAAGGAAATATCTTCACATAAAAGCTAGAGAGAAGCATTGTCAGAAACTTCTTGGTGATGATTGCATTCAACTCACGGAGCTGAGGATTCCTTTTGATGCAGCAGTTTGGAAACACTCTTTCGGTGGAATCTGCAAGCAGATATGTGGACCTCTTTGAACATTTCGATGGAAAAGGGATAATCTTCCCGTAAAAGCTAAACGGAAGCATGCTCAGGAACTTCCTTGTGATGTTTGCATTCAACTCACAGAGTTGTACTTTCCTTTTGATAGAGCAGCTTTGAAACCCCCTCTTTCTAGCATCTGCAAGGGGACATTTGGAGGGCTTCGAGGCCTGGGGTGGAAAAGGAAATATCTTCTCATCAAAGCTACATGGAAGCATTCTCAGAAGCTGCTTTGTGATGATTGCTTTCAAGTCACCGAGCTGAACATTCCCTTTGATGGAGCCGTTTGGAAACACACTTTTGGTAGAATCTGAAAGGGGAGATTTGGACCGCTTTGAGGCCTATGGCAGTAGAGGATATAACTGCACATAAAAATGAGACTGTAGCATTCCCAGGAAACACTTTGTGACGATTGAGTTCAACTCACGCAGCTGAACATTCCTTTGGATGGAGCAGTTTCCAAACACACTTTGTGTAGAATCTGCAAGTGGAGATTCGGACCGCTCTGAGGATTTCGTTGGATACGGGAGAGAACTCACCTACGTAAACGGAAGCATTCTCAGAACCTTCTTCGTGATGCTTGCATTCAACTCACAGTGTTGAACCTTTCTCTGATAGTTCAGGTTTGAAACACTCCTTCTGCAGAATCTGCAAGTGGAGATTTGGACCTCTTTGAGGCCTATCGTAGTAAACGAAAGAACTTCATCTAAAAACAAGACAGAAGCATTCTCAGAAAATTCTTTGTGATGATTGAGTTGAACTCACAGAGCTGAGCATATCTTTTGATGGCGCATTTTCAAAACACACCTTTTGTGGAATATGCAAGTGGTTTTTGGGACTTCTCTGAGAATTTCGTTGGAAACGGGATAAAACTCACATAACTGAAGAGGAACATTCTCAGAAGTTCTTGGTGATGTTGGCATTCAACTGACAGAGTTGAACCTTCCCTTTTGAGTTCAGGTTGAAACGCTCTTTTCGTAGTATCTGCAAGTGGAGGTTTGGAACGCTTTCAGGCCTGCGGTAGTAAAGGAAACAGCTTCATGTAAAAAGTGGACAGAAGCATTCTCAGAAAATACTTTGGGATGATTGAGTTCAACTCACAGAGCTGAACATTCCTTTGGGTGGAGCAGTTTTGAAACACACTTTTTGTAGACTCTGCAGGTGGATATTTGGACCTCTCTGAGGATTTCGTTGGAAACGGGATAACGTCGCCTAACTAAACAGAAGCTTTCGCAGAAACATCCTTCTGACGTTGGCATTCAAAGTCCAGAGTTGAGCCTTCCTTTGGTAGTTCACGTTTGAAACACTCTTTTTGGAGGACCTGCAAGTGGATATTGGGAGCACTTTGTGGCCTTCGTTCGAAACGGCCATATCTTCACATAAAATCTAGACAGAAGCCTTCTCAGAAACTTCTCTGTGATGATTGCATGCAACTCACAGAGTTGAACATTCCCTTTGATGGAGCATTTTTGAAACTCTCTTTTGCTAGCATCTGCAAATGGGTAGGTGGAACTCTTTGAAGACTTCTTTGGAAACGGGAATATCCTCACGTAAAAAGTAAACAGAAGCATTCTCAGAAACTCCTTTGTGAGGCTTGTGTTCAACTCCCAGAGTATAACATTGCTTTTCATAGAGCAGTTTTGAAACATTCTTTTCGTAGAGCCTCCAAGTGGACATTTGGAGCGCTTTCAGGCCTGCGGTGGAAAAGGAAATATCTTCACATAAAAGCTAGAGGGAAGCATTGTCAGAAACTTCTTGGTGATGATTGCCTTCAACTCACGGAGCTGAGGATTCCTTTGGATGCAGCAGTTTGGAAACACTCTTTCGGTGGAATCTGCAAGCGGATATGTGGACCTCTTTGAACATTTCGATGGAAAAGGGATAATCTTCCCGTAAAAGCTAAACGGAAGCATGCTCAGGAACTTCCTTGTGATGTTTGCATTCAACTCACAGAGTTGTACTTTCCTTTTGATAGAGCAGCTTTGAAACCCCCTCTTTCTAGCATCTGCAAGGGGACATTTGGAGGGCTTCGAGGCCTGGGGTGGAAAAGGAAATATCTTCTCATCAAAGCTACATGGAAGCATTCTCAGAAGCTGCTTTGTGATGATTGCTTTCAAGTCACCGAGCTGAACATTCCCTTTGATGGAGCCGTTGGGAAACACACTTTTGGTAGAATCTGAAAGGGGAGATTTGGACCGCTTTGAGGCCTATGGCAGTAGAGGATATAACTGCACATAAAAACGAGACAGTAGCATTCCCAGGAAACACTTTGTGACGATTGAGTTCACCTCACGGAGCTGAACATTCCTTTGGATGGAGCAGTTTCCAAACACACTTTGTGTAGAATCTGCAAGTGGAGATTCGGACCGCTCTGAGGATTTCATTGGATACGGGAGAGAACTCACCTACGTAAACGGAAGCATTCTCAGAACCTTCTTCGTGATGCTTGCATTCAACTCACAGTGTTGAACCTTTCTCTGACAGTTCAGGTTTGAAACACTCCTTCTGCAGAATCTGCAAGTGGAGATTTGGACCTCCTTGAGGCCTATCGTAGTAAAGGAAAGAACTTCATCTAAAAACAAGACGGAAGCATTCTCAGAAAATTCTTTGCGATGATTGAGTTTAACTCACAGAGCTGAGCAGGTCTTTTGATGGAGCATTTTCAAAACACACGTTTTGTAGTATATGCAAGTGGATATTGGGACTTCTCCGAGAATTTCGTTGGAAACGGGATAAACCTCACATAACTGAAGAGGAACCTTCTCAGAACTTCTTTGTGATGTTGACATTCAACTGACAGAGGTGAACCTTCCCTTGTGAGTTCAGGTTGAAACGCTCTTTTCGTAGCATCTGCAAGTGGAGATTTGGAACGCTTTGAGGCCTACGGTAGTAAAGGAAACAGCTTCATGTAAAAACTGGACAGAAGCATTCTCAGAAAATACTTTGGGATGATTGAGTTCAACTCACAGAGCTGAACATTCCTTTGGGTGGAGCAGTTTTGAAACACACTTTTTGTAGACTCTGCAGGTGGATATTTGGAACTCTCTGAGGATTTCGTTGGAAACGGGATAACGTCACCTAACTAAACAGAAGCTTTCGCAGAAACATCTTTCTGACGTTGGCCTTCAAAGTCCAGAGTTGAGCCTTCCTTTGGTAGTTCACGTTTGAAACACTCTTTTTGGAGGACCTGCAAGTGGATATTTTGAGCACTTTGTGGCCTTCGTTCGAAACGGCTGTATCTTCACATAAAATCTAGACAGAAGCCTTCTCAGAAACTTCTCTGTGATGATTGCATGCAACTCACAGAGTTGAACGTTCCTTTTGATAGAGCAGTTTTGAAACTCTCTTTTGCTAGCATCTGCAAATGGATAGGTGGAACTCTGTGAAGACTTCTTTTGAAACGGGAATATCCTCACGTAAAAAGTAAACAGAAGCATTCTCAGAAACTCCTTTGTGAGGCTTGTGTTCAACTCCCAGAGTATAACATTGCTTTTCATGGAGCAGTTTTGAAACATTCTTTTCGTAGAGCCTCCAAGTGGACATTTGGAGCGCTTTCAGGCCTGTGGTGGATAAGGAAATATCTTCACATAAAAACTAGAGAGAAGCATTGTCAGAAACTTCTTGGTGATGATTGCATTCAACTCACGGAGCTGAGGATTCCTTTTGATGCAGCAGTTTGGAAACACTCTTTCGGTGGAATCTGCAAGCGGATATGTGGACCTCTTTGAACATTGCGATGGAAAAGGGATAATCTTCCCATAAAAGCTAAACTGAAGCATGCTCAGGAACTTCTTTGTGATGTTTGCATTCAACTCGCAGAGTTGTACTTTCCTTTTGATAGAGCAGCTTTGAAACCCTCTCTTTCTAGCATCTGCAAGGGGACATTTGGAGGGCTTCGAGGCCTGGGGTGGAAAAGGAAATATCTTCTCATCAAAGCTACATGGAAGCATTCTCAGAAGCTGCTTTGTGATGATTGCATTCAAGTCACCGAGTTGTACATTCCCTTTGATGGAGTCGTTTGGAAACACACTTTTGGTAGAATCTGAAAGGGGATATTTGGACCGCTTTGAGGCCTATGGCAGTAGAGGACATAACTGCACATAAAAACGAGACAGTAGCATTCCCAGGAAACACTTTGTGACGATTGAGTTCAACTCACAGAGCTGAACATTCCTTTGGATGGAGCAGTCTCCAAACACACTTTGTGTAGAATCTGCAAGTGGAGATTTGGACCGCTCTGAGGATTTCGCTGGATACGGGAGAAAAGTCAACTATGTAAACAGAAGCATTCTCAGAACCTTCTTCGTGATGCTTGCATTCAACTCACAGTGTTGAACCTTTCTCTGACAGTTCAGGTTTGAAACACACCTTCTGCAGAATCTGCAAGTGGAGATTTGGACCTCTTTGAGGCCTATCGTAGTAAAGGAAAGAACTTCATCTAAAAGCAAGACAGAAGCATTCTCAGAAAATTCTTTGCGATGATTGAGTTGAACTCACAGAGGTGAGCATATCTTTTGATGACGCATTTTCAAGACACACCTTTTGTAGAATATGCAAGTGGATTTTGGGACTTCTCTGAGAATTTCGTTGGAAACGGGATAAACCTCACATAACTGAAGAGGAACATTCTCAGAAGTTCTTGGTAACGTTGGCATTCAACTGACAGAGTTGAACCTTCCCTTGTGAGTTCAGGTTGAAACGCTCTTTTCGTAGTATCTGCAAGTGGAGGTTTGGAACGCTTTGAGGCCTACAGTAGTAAAGGAAACAGCTTCATGTAAAAACTGGACAGAAGCCTTCTCAGAAAATACTTTGGGATGATTGAGTTCAACTCACAGAGCTGAACCTTCCTTTGGGTGGAGCAGTTTTGAAACACACTTTTTGTAGACTCTGCAGGTGGATATTTGGACCTCTCTGAGGATTTCGTTGGAAACGGGATAACGTCACCTAACTAAACAGAAGCTTCCGCAGAAACATCCTTCTGACGTTGGCCTTCAAAGTCCCGAGTTGAGCCTTCCTTTGGTAGTTCACGTTTGAAACACTCTTTTTGGAGGACCTGCAAGTGGATATTTGGAGCACTTTGTGGCCTTCGTTCGAAACGGCTATATCTTCACATAAAATCTAGACAGAAGCCTTCTCAGAAACTTCTCTGTGATGATTGCATGCAACTCACAGAGTTGAACATTCCTTTTGATAGAGCAGTTTTGAAACTGTCTTTTGCTAGCATCTGCAAATGGATAGGTGGAACTCTGTGAAGACTTCTTTGGAAACGGGAATATCCACACGTAAAAAGTAAACAGAAGCATTCTCAGAAACTCCTTTGTGAGGCTTGTGTTCAACTCCCAGAGTATAACATTGCTTTTCATAGAGCAGTTTTGAAACATTCTTTTCGTAGAGCCTCCAAGTGGACATTTGGAGCGCTTTCAGGCCTGCGGTGGAAAAGGAAATATCTTCACATAAAAACTAGAGAGAAGCATTCTCAGAATCTTCTTGGTGATGATTGCATTCAACTCACGGAGCTGAGGATTCCTTTTGATGCAGCAGTATGGAAACACTCTTTCGGTGGAAGCTGCAAGCGGATATGTGGACCTCTTTGAACATTCCGATGGAAAAGGGATAATCTTCCCGTAAAAGCTAAACGGAAGCATGCTCTGGAACTTCTTTGTGAAGTTTGCATTCAACTCACAGAGTTGTACTTTCCTTTTGATAGAGCAGCTTTGAAACCCTCTCTTTCTAGCATCTGCAAGGGGACATTTGGAGGGCTTCGAGGCCTGGGGTGGAAAAGGAAATATCTTCTCATCAAAGCTACATGGAAGCATTCTCAGAAGCTGCTTTGTGATGATTGCTTTCAAGTCACCGAGTTGCACATTCCCTTTGATGGAGCCGTTTGGAAACACACTTCTGGTAGAATCTGAAAGGGGATATTTGGAACGCTTTGAGGCCTATGGCAGCAGAGGATAAACTGCACATAAAAGCGAGACAGGAGCATTCCCAGGAAACGCTTTGTGACGATTGAGTTCAACTCACAGAGCTGAACATTCCTTTGGGTGGAGCAGTTTCCAAACACACTTTGTGTAGAATCTGCAAGTGGAGATTTGGACCGCTCTGAGGATTTCGCTGGATACGGGAGAAAAGTCACCTACGTAAACAGAAGCATTCTCAGAACCTTCTTCGTGATGTTTGCATTCAACTCACAGTGTTGAACCTTTCTCTGACAGTTCAGGTTTGAAACACTCCTTCTGCAGAATCTGCCAGTGGAGATTTGGACCTCTTTGAGGCCTGTGGTAGTAAAGGAAAGAACTTCATCTAAAAACAAGACGGAAGCATTCTCAGAAAATTCTTTGCGATGATTGAGTTTAACTCACAGAGCTGAGCATATCTTTTGATGGCGCATTTTCCAAACACACCTTTTGTGGAATATGCAAGTGGATTTAGGGACTTCTCTGAGAATTTCGTGGGAAACGGGATAAACCTCACATAACTGAAGAGGAACATTCTCAGAACTTCTTGGTGATGTTGGCATTCAACTGACAGAGTTGAACCTTCCCTTGTGAGTTCAGGTTGAAACGCTCTTTTCGTAGTATCTGCAAGTGGAGGTTTGGAACGCTTTGAGGCCTACGGTAGTAAAGGAAACAGCTTCATGTAAAAACTGGACAGAAGAATTCTCAGAAAATACTTTGGGATGATTGAGTTCAACTCACAGAGCTGAACATTCCTTTGGGTGGAGCAGTTTTGAAACACACTTTTTGTAGACTCTGCAGGTGGATATTTGGACCTCTCCGAGGATTTCGTTGGAGACGGGATAACGTCACCTAACTAAACAGAAGCTTCCGCAGAAACATCCTTCTGACGTTGGCCTTCAAAGTCCCGAGTTGAGCCTTCCTTTGGTAGTTCACGTTTGAAACACTCTTTTTGGAGGACCTGCAAGTGGATATTTGGAGCACTTTGTGGCCTTCGTTCGAAACGGCTATATCTTCACATAAAATCTAGACAGAAGCCTTCTCAGAAACTTCTCTGTGATGATTGCATGCAACTCACAGAGTTGAACATTCCTTTTGATGGAGCAGTTTTGAAACTCTCTTTTGCTAGCATCTGCAAATGGATAGGTGGAACTCTGTGAAGACTTCTTTGGAAACGGGAATATCCTCACGTAAAAAGTAAACAGAAGCATTCTCAGAAACTCCTTTGTGAGGCTTGTGTTCAACTCCCAGAGTATAACATTGCTTTTCATAGAGCAGTTTTGAAACATTCTTTTCGTAGAGCCTCCAAGTGGACATTTGGAGCGCTTTCAGGCCTGCGGTGGAAAAGGAAATATCTTCACATAAAAAGTAGAGAGAAGCATTGTCAGAAACTTCTTGGTGATGATTGCATTCAACTCACGGAGCTGAGGATTCGTTTGGATGCAGCAGTTTGGAAACACTCTTTCGGTGGAATCTGCAAGCGGATATGTGGACCTCTTTGAACATTTCGATGGAAAAGGGATAATCTTCCCGTAAAAGCTAAACGGAAGCATGCTCAGGAACTTCCTTGTGATGTTTGCATTCAACTCACAGAGTTGTACTTTCCTTTTGATAGAGCAGCTTTGAAATCCCCTCTTTCTAGCATCTGCAAGGGGACATTTGGAGGGCTTCGAGGCCTGGGGTGGAAAAGGAAATATCTTCTCATCAAACCTACATGGAAGCATTCTCAGAAGCTGCTTTGTGATGATTGCATTCAAGTCACCGAGTTGAACATCCCCTTTGATGGGGCCGTTTGGAAACACACTTTTGGTAGAATCTGAAAGGGGAGATTTGGACCGCTTTGAGGCCTATGGCAGTAGAGGATATAACTGCACATAAAAGCGAGACAGGAGCATTCCCAGGAAACACTTTGTGACGATTGAGTTCAACTCACAGAGCTGAACATTCCTTTGGATGGAGCAGTTTCCAAACACACTTTGTGTAGAATCTGCAAGTGGAGATTCGGACCGCTCTGAGGATTTCGTTGGATACGGGAGAGAACTCACCTACGTAAACGGAAGCATTCTCAGAACCATCTTCGTGATGCTTGCATTCAACTCACAGTGTTGAACCTTTCTCTGACGGTTCAGGTTTGAAACACTCCTTCTGCAGAATCTGCAAGTGGAGATTTGGACCTCTTTGAGGCCTATCGTAGTAAAGGAAAGAACTTCATCTAAAAACAAGACAGAAGCATTCTCAGAAAATTCTTTGCAATGATTGAGTTTAACTCACAGAGCTGAGCATATCTTTTGATGGCACAATTTCCAAACACACCTTTTGTGGAATATGCAAGTGGATTTTGGGACTTCTCTGAGAATTTCGTTGGAAACGGGATAAACCTCACATAACTGAAGAGGAACATTCTCAGAACTTCTTGGTGATGTTGGCATTCAGCTGACAGAGTTGAACCTTCCCTTGTGAGTTCAGGTTGAAACGCTCTTTTCGTAGGATCTGCAAGTGGAGGTTTGGAACGCTTTGAGGCCTACGGTAGTAAAGGAAACAGCTTCATGTAAAAACTGGACAGAAGCATTCTCAGAAAATACTTTGGGACGATTGAGTTCAACTCACAGAGCTGAACATTCCTTTGGGTGGAGCAGTTTGGAAACACACTTTTTGTAGACTCCGCAGGTGGATATTTGGACCTCTCTGAGGATTTCGTTGGAAACGGGATAACGTCACCTAACTAAACAGAAGCTTTCGCAGAAACATCCTTCTGACGTTGGCCTTCAAAGTCCAGAGGTGAGCCTTCCTTTGGTAGTTCACGTTTGAAACACTCTTTTTGGAGGACCTGCAAGTGGATATTTGGAGCACTTTGTGGCCTTCGTTCGAAACGGCTATCTCTTCACGTAAAATCTAGACAGAAGCCTTCTCAGAAACTTCTCTGTGATGATTGCATGCAACTCACAGAGTTGAACATTCCTTTTGATGGAGCAGTTTTGAAACTCTCTTTTGCTAGCATCTGCAAATGGATAGGTGGAACTCTGTGAAGACTGCTTTGGAAACGGGAATATCCTCACGTAAAAAGTAAACAGAAGCATTCTCAGAAACTCCTTTGTGAGGCTTGTGTTCAACTCCCAGAGTATAACATGGCTTTTCATGGAGCAGTTTTGAAACATTCTTTTCGTAGAGCCTCCAAGTGGACATTTGGAGCCCTTTCAGGCCTGTGGTGGATAAGGAAATATCTTCACATAAAAACTAGAGAGAAGCATTGTCAGAAACTTCTTGGTGATGATTGCATTCAACTCACGGAGCTGAGGATTCCTTTTGATGCAGCAGTTTGGAAACACTCTTTCGGTGGAATCTGCAAGCGGATACGTGGACCTCTTTGAACATTCCGATGGAAAAGGGATAATCTTCCCATAAAAGCTAAACGGAAGCATGCTCAGGAACTTCTTTGTGATGTTTGCATTCAACTCGCAGAGTTGTACTTTCCTTTTGATAGAGCAGCTTTGAAACCCTCTCTTTCTAGCATCTGCAAGGGGACATTT
Organism: Homo sapiens; assembly: GCF_000001405.40. NCBI lineage: Eukaryota > Metazoa > Chordata > Mammalia > Primates > Hominidae > Homo > Homo sapiens. The sequence continues at coordinate 122,160,299 of NC_000001.11, forward strand.
GGAGGGCTTCGAGGCCTGGGGTGGAAAAGGAAATATCTTCTCATGAAAGCTACATGGAAGCATTCTCAGAAGCTGCTTTGTGATGATTGCTTTCAAGTCACCGAGCTGAACATTCCCTTTGATGGAGCCGTTGGGAAACACAATTTTGGTAGAATCCTAAAGGGGATATTTGGACAGCTTTGAGGCCTATGGCAGTAGAGGATATAACTGCACATAAAAACGAGACAGTAGCATTCCCAGGAAACGCTTTGTGACCATTGAGTTCAACTCACAGAGCTGAACATTCCTTTGGGTGGAGCAGTTTCCAAACACACTTTGTGTAGAATCTGCAAGTGGAGATTTGGACCGCTCTGAGGATTTCGCTGGATACGGGAGAAAAGTCACCTATGTAAACAGAAGCATTCTGAGAACCTTCTTCGTGATGCTTGCATTCAACTCACAGTGTTGAACCTTTCTCTGACATTTCAGGTTTGAAACACTCCTCCTGCAGAATCTGCAAGTGGAGATTTGGAACTCTTTGAGGCCTATCGTAGTAAAGGAAAGAACTTCATCTAAAAACAAGACAGAAGCATTCTCAGAAAATTCTTTACGATGATGGAGTTTAACTCACAGAGCTGAGCATATCTTTTGATGGCGCATTTTCAAAACACACTTTTTGTAGAATATGCAAGTGGATTTTGGGACTTCTCAGAGAATTTCGTTGGAAACGCGATAAACCTCACATAACTGAAGAGGAACACTCTCAGAACTTCTTTGTGATGTTGGCATTCAACTGACAGAGTTGAAACTTCCCTTGTGAGTTCAGGTTGAAACCCTCTTTTCGTACTATCTTCAAGTGGAGATTTGGAACGCTTTGAGGCCTATGGTAGTAAACGAAACAGCTTCATGTAAAAACTGGACAGAAGCCTTCTCAGAAAATACTTTGGGATGATTGAGTTCAACTCACAGAGCTGAACCTTCCTTTGGGTGGAGCAGTTTTGAAACACACTTTTTGTAGACTCTCCATGTGGATATTTGGACCTCTCTGAGGATTTCGTTGAAAACGGGATAACGTCACCTAACTAAACAGAAGCTTTCGCAGAAACATCCTTCTGACGTTGGCCTTCAAAGTCCAGAGTTGAGCCTTCCTTTGGTAGTTCACGTTTGAAACACTCTTTTTGGAGGACCTGCAAGTGGATATTTGGAGCACATTGTGGCCTTCGTTCGAAACGGCTATATCTTCACATAAAATCTAGACAGAAGCCTTCTCAGAAACTTTTCTGTGATGATTGCATGCAACTCACAGAGTTGAACATTCCTTTTGATGGAGCAGTTTTGAAACTCTCTTTTGCTAGCATCTGCAAATGGATAGGTGGAACTCTGTGAAGACTTCTTTGGAAACGGGAATATCCTCACGTAAAAAGTAAACAGAAGCATTCTCAGTAAACTCCTTTGTGAGGCTTGTGTTCAACTCCCAGAGTATAACATTGCTTTTCATAGAGCAGTTTTGAAACGTTCTTTTCGTAGAGCCTCCAAGTGGACATTTGGGGCGCTTTCAGGCCTGCGGTGGAAAAGGAAATATCTTCACATAAAAACTAGTGAGAAGCATTGTCAGAAACTTCTTGGTGATGATTGCATTCAACTCACGGAGCTGAGGATTCCTTTTGATGCAGCAGTTTGGAAACACTCTTTCGGTGGAATCTGCAAGCGGATATGTGGACCTCTTTGAACATTTTGATGGAAAAGGGATAATCTTCCCGTAAAAGCTAAACGGAAGCATGCTCAGGAACTTCCTTGTGATGTTTGCATTCAACTCACAGAGTTGTACTTTCCTTTTGATAGAGCAGCTTTGAAACCCCCTCTTTCTAGCATCTGCAAGGGGACATTTGGAGGGCTTCGAGGCCTGGGGTGGAAAAGGAAATATCTTCTCATCAAAGCTACATGGAAGCATTCTCAGAAGCTGCTTTGTGATGATTGCATTCAAGTCACCGAGTTGAACATCCCCTTTGATGGGGCCGTTTGGAAACACACTTTTGGTAGAATCTGAAAGGGGAGATTTGGACCGCTTTGAGGCCTATGGCAGTAGAGGATATAACTGCACATAAAAGCGAGACAGGAGCATTCCCAGGAAACGCTTTGTGACCATTGAGTTCAACTCACAGAGCCGAACATTCCTTTGGGTGGAGCAGTTTCCAAACACACTTTGTGTAGAATCTGCAAGTGGAGATTTGGACCGCTCTGAGGATTTCGTTGGATAGGGAGAAAAGTCACCTACGAAAACAGAAGCATTCTCAGAACCTTCTTCGTGATGCTTGCATTCAACTCACAGTGTTGAACTTTTCTCTGACAGTTCAGGTTTGAAACACTCCTTCTGCAGAATCTGCAAGTGGAGATTTGGACCTCTTTGAGGCCTATTGTAGTAAAGGTAAGAACTTCATCTAAAAACAAGACGGAAGCATTCTCAGAAAATTCTTTGTGATGATTGAGTTGAACTCACAGAGCTGAGCATATCTTTTGATGGCGCATTTTCAAAACACACCTTTTGTGGAATATGCAAGTGGTTTTTGGGACTTCTCTGAGAATTTCGTTGGAAACGGGATAAAACTCACATAACTGAAGAGGAACATTCTCAGATCTTCTTGGTGATGTTGGCATTCAACTGACAGAGTTGAACCTTCCCTTGTGAGTTCAGGTTGAAACGCTCTTTTCGTAGTATCTGCAAGTGGAGGTTTGGAACGCTTTGAGGCCTACGGTAGTAAAGGAAACAGCTTCATGTAAACACTGGACAGAAGCATTCTCAGAAAATACTTTGGGATGATTGAGTTCAACTCACAGAGCTGAACATTCCTTTGGGTGGAGCAGTTTTGAAACACACTTTTTGTAGACTCTGCAGGTGGATATTTGGACCTCTCTGAGGATTTCGTTGGAAACGGGATAACGTCACCTAACTAAATAGAAGCTTTCGCAGAAACATCCTTCTGACGTTGGCATTCAAAGTCCAGAGTTGAGCCTTCCTTTGGTAGTTCACGTTTTAAACACTCTTTTTGGAGGACCTGCAAGTGGATATTTGGAGCACTTTGTGGCCTTCGTTCGAAACGGCTATATCTTCACATAAAATCTAGACAGAAGCCTTCTCAGAAACTTCTCTGTGATGATTGCATGCAACTCACAGAGTTGAACATTCCTTTTGATGGAGCAGTTTTGAAACTCTCTTTTGCTAGCATCTGCAAATGGATAGGTGGAACTCTGTGAAGACTTCTTTGGAAACGGGAATATCCTCACGTAAAAAGTAAACAGAAGCATTCTCAGAAACTCCTTTGTGAGGCTTGTGTTCAACTCCCAGAGTATAACTTGGCTCTTCATAGAGCAGTTTTGAAACATTCTTTTCGTAGAGCCTCCAAGTGGACATTTGGAGCGCTTTCAGGCCTGCGGTGGAAAAGGAAATATCTTCACATAAAAACTAGAGAGAAGCATTGTCACAAACTTCTTGGTGATGATTGCATTCAACTCACGGAGCTGAGGATTCCTTTTGATGCAGCAGTTTGGAAACACTCTTTCGGTGGAATCTGCAAGCGGATATGTGGACCTCTTTGAACATTTCGATGGAAAAGGGATAATCTTCCCGTAAAAGCTAAACGGAAGCATGCTCAGGAACTTCTTTGTGATGTTTGCATTCAACTCGCAGAGTTGTACTTTCCTTTTGATAGAGCAGCTTTGAAACCCTCTCTTTCTAGCATCTGCAAGGGGACATTTGGAGGGCTTCGAGGCCCGGGGTGGAAATGGAAATATCTTCTCATCAAAGCTACATGGAAGCATTCTCAGAAGCTGCTTTGTGATGATTGCATTCAAGTCACCGAGTTGAACATCCCCTTTGATGGGGCCGTTTGGAAACACATTTCTGGTAGAATCTGAAAGGGGAGATTTGGACCGCTTTGAGGCCTATGGCAGTAGAGGATATAACTGTACATAAAAGCGAGACAGGAGCATTCCCAGGAAACGCTTTGTGACCATTGAGTTCAACTCACAGAGCTGAACATTCCTTTGGGTGGAGCAGTTTCCAAACACACTTTGTGTAGAATCTGCAAGTGGAGATTTGGACCGCTCTGAGGATTTCGCTGGATACGGGAGAAAAGTCACCTACGTAAACAGAAGCATTCTCAGAACCTTCTTCGTGATGCTTGCATTCAACCCACAGTGTTGAACCTTTCTCTGACAGTTCAGGTTTGAAACACTCCTTCTGCAGAATCTGCAAGTGGAGATTTGGACCTCTTTGAGGCCTATCGTAGTAAAGGAAAGAACTTCATCTAAAAACAAGACAGAAGCATTCTCAGAAAATTCTTTGCGATGCTTGAGTTTAACTCACAGAGCTGAGCATATCTTTTGATGGCGCATTTTCCAAACACACCTTTTGTGGAATATGCAAGTGGATTTTGGGACTTCTCTGAGAATTTCGTGGGAAACGGGATAAACCTCACATAACTGAAGAGGAACACTCTCAGAACTTCTTTGTGATGTTGGCATTCAACTGACAGAGTTGAACCTTCCCTTGTGAGTTCAGGTTGAAACGCTCTTTTCGTACTATCTTCAAGTGGAGATTTGGAATGCTTTGAGGCCTATGGTAGTAAACGAAACAGCTTCATGTAAAAACTGGACAGAAGCATTCTCAGAAAATACTTTGGGATGATTGAGTTCAACTCACAGAGCTGAACATTCCTTTGGGTGGAGCAGTTTAGAAACACACTTTTGGAGACTCTGCAGGTGGATATTTGGACCTCTCTGAGGATTTCGTTGGAAGCGGGATAACGTCACCTAACTAAACAGAAGCTTTTGCAGAAACATCCTTCTGACGTTGGCCTTCAAAGTCCAGAGTTGAGCCTTCCTTTGGTAGTTCACGTTTGAAACACTCTTTTTGGAGGACCTGCAAGTGGATATTTGGAGCACTTTGTGGCCTTCGTTCGAAACGGCTATATCTTCACATAAAATCTAGACAGAAGCCTTCTCAGAAACTTCTCTGTGATGATTGCATGCAACTCACAGAGTTGAAAATTCCTTTTGATGGAGCAGTTTTGAAACTCTCTTTTGCTAGCATCTGCAAATGTATAGGTGGAACTCTGTGAAGACTTCTTTGGAAACGGGAATATCCTCACGTAAAAAGTAAACAGAAGCATTCTCAGAAACTCCTTTGTGAGGCTTGTGTTCAACTCCCAGAGTATAACATTGCTTTTCATAGAGCAGTTTTGAAACATTCTTTTCGTAGAGCGTCCAGGTGGACATTTGGAACGCTTTCAGGCCTGTGTTGGAAAAGGAAATATCTTCACATAAAAACTAGAGAGAAGCATTGTCAGAAACCTCTTGGTGATGATTGCATTCAACTCACGGAGCTGAGGATTCCTTTTGATGCAGCAGTTTGGAAACACTCTTTCGGTGGAATCTGCAAGCGGATATGTGGACCTCTTTGAACATTTCGATGGAAAAGGGATAATCTTCCCATAAAAGCTAAACGAAAGCATGCTCAGGAACTTCCTTGTGATGTTTGCATTCAACTCACAGCGTTGTACTTTCCTTTTGATAGAGCAGCTTTGAAACCCCCTCTTTCTAGCATCTGCAAGGGGACATTTGGAGGGCTTCGAGGCCTGGGGTGGAAAAGGAAATATCTTCTCATCAAAGCTACATGGAAGCATTCTCAGAAGCTGCTTTGGGATGATTGCATTCAAGTCAGCGAGTTGAACATTCCCTTTGATGGAGCCGTTTGGAAACACACTTTTGGTAGGATCTGAAAGGGGAGATTTGGACCGCTTTGAGGCCTATGGCAGTAGAGGATATAACTGCACATAGAAGCGAGACAGGAGCATTCCCAGGAAACACTTTGTGACGATTGAGTTCAACTCACAGAGCTGAACATTCCTTTGGATGGAGCAGTCTCCAAACACACTTTGTGTAGAATCTGCAAGTGGAGATTTGGACCGCTCTGAGGATTTCGCTGGATACGGGAGAAAAGTCAACTATGTAAACAGAAGCATTCTCAGAACCTTCTTCGTGATGCTTGCATTCAACTCACAGTGTTGAACCTTTCTCTGACAGTTCAGGTTTGAAACACACCTTCTGCAGAATCTGCAAGTGGAGATTTGGACCTCTTTGAGGCCTATCGTAGTAAAGGAAAGAACTTCATCTAAAAGCAAGACAGAAGCATTCTCAGAAAATTCTTTGCGATGATTGAGTTGAACTCACAGAGGTGAGCATATCTTTTGATGACGCATTTTCAAGACACACCTTTTGTAGAATATGCAAGTGGATTTTGGGACTTCTCTGAGAATTTCGTTGGAAACGGGATAAACCTCACATAACTGAAGAGGAACATTCTCAGAACTTCTTGGTGATGTTGGCATTCAGCTGACAGAGTTGAACCTTCCCTTGTGAGTTCAGGTTGAAACGCTCTTTTCGTAGGATCTGCAAGTGGAGGTTTGGAACGCTTTGAGGCCTACGGTAGTAAAGGAAACAGCTTCATGTAAAAACTGGACAGAAGAATTCTCAGAAAATACTTTGGGATGATTGAGTTCAACTCACAGAGCTGAACATTCCTTTGGGTGGAGCAGTTTTGAAACACACTTTTTGTAGACTCTGCAGGTGGATATTTGGACCTCTCTGAGGATTTCGTTGGAAACGGGATAACGTCACCTAACTAAACAGAAGCTTCCGCAAAAACATCCTTCTGACGTTGGCCTTCAAAGTCCAGAGTTGAGCCTTCCTTTGGTAGTTCACGTTTGAAACACTCTTTTTGGAGGACCTGCAAGTGGATATTTGGAGCACTTTGTGGCCTTCATTCGAAACGGCTATATCTTCACATAAAATCTAGACAGAAGCCTTCTCAGAAACTTCTCTGTGATGATTGCATGCAACTCACAGAGTTGAACGTTCCTTTTGATAGGGCAGTTTTGAAACTCTCTTTTGCTGGCATCTGCAAAACGATAGGTGGAACTCTGTGAAGACTTCTTTGGAAACGGGAATATCCTCACATAAGAAGTAAACAGAAGCATTCTCAGAAACTCCTTTGTGAGGCTTGTGTTCAACTCCCAGAGTATAACATTGCTTTTCATAGAGCAGTTTTGAAACATTCTTTTCGTAGAGCCTCCAAGTGGACATTTGGAGCGCTTTCAGGCCTGCGGTGGAAAAGGAAATATCTTCACATAAAAACTAGAGAGAAGCATTGTCAGAAACTTCTTGGTGATGATTGCATTCAACTCACGGAGCTGAGGATTCCTTTTGATGCAGCAGTTTGGAAACACTCTTTCGGTGGAATCTGCAAGCGTATATGTGGACCTCTTTGAACATTTCGATGGAAAAGGGATAATCTTCCCGTAAAAGCTAAACGGAAGCATGCTCAGGAACTTCCTTGTGATGTTTGCATTCAACTCACAGAGTTGTACTTTCCTTTTGATAGAGCAGCTTTGAAACCCCCTCTTTCTAGCATCTGCAAGGGGACATTTGGAGGGCTTCGAGGCCTGGGGTGGAAAAGGAAATATCTTCTCATCAAACCTACATGGAAGCATTCTCAGAAGCTGCTTTGTGATGATTGCATTCAAGTCACCGAGTTGAACATCCCCTTTGATGGGGCCGTTTGGAAACACACTTTTGGTAGAATCTGAAAGGGGAGATTTGGACCGCTTTGAGGCCTATGGCAGTAGAGGATATAACTGCACATAAAAGCGAGACAGGAGCATTCCCAGGAAACGCTTTGTGACGATTGAGTTCAACTCACAGAGCTGAACATTCCTTTGGGTGAAGCAGTTTCCAAACACACTTTGTGTAGAATCTGCAAGTGGAGATTTGGACCGCTCTGAGGATTTCGTTGGATACGGGAGAAAAGTCACCTACGTAAACAGAAGCATTCTCAGAACCTTCTTCGTGATGCTTGCATTCAACTCACAGTGTTGAACCTTTCTCTGATAGTTCAGGTTTGAAACACTCCTTCTGCAGAATCTGCAAGTGGAGATTTGGACCTCTTTGAGGCCTATCGTAGTAAAGGAAAGAACTTCATCTAAAAACAAGACAGAAGCATTCTCAGAAAATTCTTTGCGATGATTGAGTTTAACTCACAGAGCTGAGCATATCTTTTGATGGCGCATTTTCAAAACACACCTTTTGTAGAATAGGCAAGTGGATTTTGGGACTTCTCTGAGGATTTCGTTGGAAACGGGATAAACCTCACATAACTGAAGAGGAACATTCTCAGAAGTTCTTGGTGATGTTGGCATTCAACTGACAGAGTTGAACCTTCCCTTGTGAGTTCAGGTTGAAACGCTCTTTTCGTAGTATCTGCAAGTGGAGGTTTGGAACGCTTTGAGGCCTACGGTAGTAAAGGAAAGAGCTTCACGTAAAAACTGGGCAGAAGCATTCTCACAAAATACTTTGGGACGATTGAGTTCAACTCACAGAGCTGAACATTCCTTTGGGTGGAGCAGTTTGGAAACACACTTTTTGTAGACTCCGCAGGTGGATATTTGGACCTCTCTGAGGATTTCGTTGGAAACGGGATAACGTCACCTAACTAAACAGAAGCTTTCGGAGAAACATCCTTCTGACGTTGGCCTTCAAAGTCCAGAGTTGAGCCTTCCTTTGGTAGTTCACGTTTGAAACACTCTTTTTGGAGGACCTGCAAGTGGATATTTGGAGCACTTTGTGGCCTTCGTTCGAAACGGCTATATCTTCACGTAAAATCTAGACAGAAGCCTTCTCACAAACTCCTCTGTGATGATTGCACGCAACTCACAGAGTTGAACATTCCTTTTGATAGAGCAGTTTTGAAACTCTCTAGTTTTGCTGGCATCTGCAAATGGATAGGTGGAACTCTGTGAAGATTTCTTTGGAAACGGGAATATCCTCACGTAAAAAGTAAACAGAAGCATTCTCAGATACTCCTTTGTGAGTCTTGTGTTCAACTCCCAGAGTATAACATTGCTTTTCATAGAGCAGTTTTGAAACATTCTTTTCGTAGAGCCTCCAAGTGGACATTTGGAGCGCTTTCAGGCCTGCGGTGGAAAAGGAAATATCTTCACATAAAAGCTAGAGAGAAGCATTGTCAGAAACTTCTTGGTGATGATTGCCTTCAACTCACGGAGCTGAGGATTCCTTTGGATGCAGCAGTTTGGAAACACTCTTTCGGTGGAATCTGCAAGCGGATTTGTGGACCTCTTTGAACATTTCGATGGAAAAGGGATAATCTTCCCGTAAAAGCTAAACGGAAGCATGCTCAGGAACTTCTTTGTGATGTTTGCATTCAACTCGCAAGTGTTGTACTTTCCTTTTGATAGAGCAGCTTTGAAACCCTCCCTTTCTAGCATCTGCAAGGGGACATTTGGAGGGCTTCGAGGCCTGGGGTGGAAAAGGAAATATCTTCTCATCAAAGATACATGGAAGCATTCTCAGAACATGCTTTGTGATGATTGCATTCAACTCACCGAGTTGAACATTCCCTTTGATGGAGCCGTTTGGAAACACACTTTTGGTAGAATCTGAAAGGGGAGATTTGGACCGCTTTGAGGCCTATGGCAGTAGAGGACATAACTGCACATAAAAACGAGACAGTGGCATTCCCAGGAAACACTTTGTGACGATGGAGTTCAACTCACAGAGCTGAACATTCCTTTGGATGGAGCAGTTTCCAAACACACTTTGTGTAGAATCTGCAAGTGGAGATTTGGACCGCTCTGAGGATTTCGTTGGATACGGGAGAGAACTCACCTACGTAAACAGAAGCATTCTCAGAACCATCTTCGTGATGCTTGCATTCAACTCACAGTGTTGAACCTTTCTCTGACGGTTCAGGTTTGAAACACTCCTTCTGCAGAATCTGCAAGTGGAGATTTGGACCTCTTTGAGGCCTATCGTAGTAAAGGAAAGAACTTCATCTAAAAACAAGACAGAAGCATTCTCAGAAAATTCTTTGCGATGATTGAGTTTAACTCACAGAGCTGAGCAGGTCTTTTGATGGAGCATTTTCAAAACACACGTTTTGTAGAATATGCAAGTGGATATTGGGACTTCTCCGAGAATTTCGTTGGAAACGGGATAAACCTCACATTACTGAAGAGGAACACTCTCAGAACTTCTTTGTGATGTTGGCATTCAACTGACAGAGTTGAACCTTCCCTTGTGAGTTCAGGTTGAAACGCTCTTTTCGTACTATCTTCAAGTGGAGATTTGGAATGCTTTGAGGCCTATGGTAGTAAACGAAACAGCTTCATGTAAAAACTGGACAGAAGCATTCTCAGAAAATACTTTGTGATGATTGAGTTTAACTCACAGAGCTGAACATTCCTTTGGGTGGAGCAGTTTGGAAACACACGTTTTGTAGACTCTGCAGGTGGACATTTGGACCTCTCTGAGGATTTCGTTGGAAAAGGGATAACGTCACCTAACTAAACAGAAGCTTTCGCAGAAACATCCTTCTGACGTTGGCATTCAAAGTCCAGAGTTGAGCCTTCCTTTGTTAGTTCACGTTTGAAACACTCTTTTTGGAGGACCTGCAAGTGGATATTGGGAGCGCTTTGTGGCCTTCGTTCGAAACGGCCATATCTTCACATAAAATCTAGACAGAAGCCTTCTCAGAAACTTCTCTGTGATGATTGCATGCAACTCACAGGAGTTGAAAATTCCTTTTGATGGAGCAGTTTTGAAACTCTCTTTTGCTAGCATCTGCAAATGTATAAGTGGAACTCTGTGAAGACTTCTTTGGAAACGGGAATATCCTCACGTAAAAAGTAAACAGAAGCATTCTCAGAAACTCCTTTGTGAGGCTTGTGTTCAACTCCCAGAGTATAACATTGCTTTTCATAGAGCAGTTTTGAAACTTTCTTTTCGTAGAGCCTCCAAGTGGACATTTGGAGGGCTTTCAGGCCTGTGGTGGAATAGGAAATATCTTCACATAAAAACTAGAGAGAAGCATTGTCAGAAACTTCTTGGTGATGATTGCATTCAACTCACGGAGCTGAGGATTCCTTTTGATGCAGCAGTTTGGAAACACTCTTTCGGTGGAATCTGCAAGCGGATATGTGGACCTCTTTGAACATTTCGATGGAAAAGGGATAATCTTCCCGTAAAAGCTAAACGGAAGCATGCTCAGGAACTTTCCTTGTGATGTTTGCATTCAACTCACAGAGTTGTACTTTCCTTCTGATAGAGCAGCTTTGAAACCCCCTCTTTCTAGCATCTGCAAGGGGACATTTGGAGGGCTTCGAGGCCTGGGGTGGAAAAGGAAATATCTTCTCATCAAAGCTACATGGAAGCATTCTCAGAAGCTGCTTTGTGATGATTGCATTCAAGTCACCGAGATGAACACTCCCTTTGATGGAGCCGTTTGGAAACACACTTTTGGTAGAATCTGAAAGGGGAGATTTGGACCGCTTTGAGGCCTATGGCAGTAGAGGATATAACTGCACATAAAAACGAGACAGGAGCATTCCCAGGAAACACTTTGTGACGCTTGAGTTCAACTCACAGAGCTGAACATTCCTTTGGATGGAGCAGTTTCCAAACACACTTTGTGTAGAATCTGCAAGTGGAGATTTGGACCGCTCTGAGGATTTCGTTGGATATGGCAGAAAACTCACCTACGTAAACAGAAGCATTCTCAGAACCTTCTTCGTGAAGCTTGCATTCAACTCACAGTGTTGAACCTTTCTCTGACAGTTTAGGTTTGAAACACTCCTGCAGAATCTGCAAGTGGAGATTTGGACCTCTTTGAGGCCTATCGTAGTAAAGGAAAGAACTTCATCTAAAAACAAGACAGAAGCATTCTCAGAAAATTCTTTGCGATGATTGAGTTTAACTCACAGAGCTGAGCATATCTTTTGATGGCGCATTTTCAAAACACACCTTTTGTAGAATATGCAAGTGGATTTTGGGACTTCTCTGAGAATTTCGTTGGAAACGGGATAAACCTCACATAACTGAAGAGGAACATTCTCAGAAGTTCTTGGTGATGTTGGCATTCAACTGACAGAGTTGAACCTTCCCTTGTGAGTTCAGGTTGAAACGCTCTTTTCGTACTATCTGCAAGTGGAGATTTGGAACGCTTTGAGGCCTACGGTAGTAAAGGAAACAGCTTCAGGTAAAAACTGGACAGAAGCATTCTCAGAAAATACTTTGGGATGATTGACTTCAACTCACAGAGCTGAACATTCCTTTGGGTGGAGCAGTTTTGAAACACACTTTTTGTAGACTCTGCAGGTGGATATTTGGACCTCTCTGAGGATTTCGTTGGAAACGGGATAACGTCACCTAACTAAACAGAAGCTTTCGCAGAAACATCTTTCTGACGTTGGCATTCAAAGTCCAGAGTTGAGCCTTCCTTTGGTAGTTCACGTTTGAAACACTCTTTTTGGAGGACCTGCAAGTGGATATTTGGAGCACTTTGTGGCCTTCGTTCGAAACGGCTATATCTTCACATAAAATCTAGACAGAAGCCTTCTCAGAAACTTCTCTGTGATGATTGCCTGCAACTCACAGAGTTGAACATTCCTTTTGATGGAGCAGTTTTGAAACTCTCTTTTGCTAGCATCTGCAAATGGATAGGTGGAACTCTGTGAAGACTTTCTTTGGAAACGGGAATATCCTCACGTAAAAAGTAAACAGAAGCATTCTCAGAAACTCCTTTGTGAGGCTTGTGTTCAACTCCCAGTAGTATAACATTGCTTTTCATAGAGCAGTTTTGAAACATTCTTTTCGTAGAGCCTCCAAGTGGACATTTGGAGCGCTTTCAGGCCTGCGGTGGAAAAGGAAATATCTTCACATAAAAGCTAGAGAGAAGAATTGTCAGAAACTTCTTGGTGATGATTGCCTTCAACTCACGGAGCTGAGGATTCCTTTGGATGCAGCAGTTTGGAAACACTCTTTCGGTGGAATCTGCAAGCGGATATGTGGACCTCTTTGAACATTTCGATGGAAAAGGGATAATCTTCCCGTAAAAGCTAAACGGAAGCATGCTCAGGAACTTCCTTGTGATGTTTGCATTCAACTCACAGAGTTGTACTTTCCTTTTGATAGAGCAGCTTTGAAACCCCCTCTTTCTAGCATCTGCAAGGGGACATTTGGAGGGCTTCGAGGCCTGGGGTGGAAAAGGAAATATCTTCTCATCAAAGCTACATGGAAGCATTCTCAGAAGCTGCTTTGTGATGATTGCATTCAAGTCACCGAGTTGAACATCCCCTTTGATGGGGCCGTTTGGAAACACACTTTTGGTAGAATCTGAAAGGGGAGATTTGGACCGCTTTGAGGCCTATGGCAGTAGAGGATATAACTGCACATAAAAGCGAGACAGGAGCATTCCCAGGAAACACTTTGTGACGATTGAGTTCAACTCACAGAGCTGAACATTCCTTTGGATGGAGCAGTCTCCAAACACACTTTGTGTAGAATCTGCAAGTGGAGATTTGGACCGCTCTGAGGATTTCGCTGGATACGGGAGAAAAGTCAACTATGTAAACAGAAGCATTCTCAGAACCTTCTTCGTGATGCTTGCATTCAACTCACAGTGTTGAACCTTCCTCTGACGGTTCAGGTTTGAAACACTCCTTCTGCAGAATCTGCAAGTGGAGATTTGGACCTCTTTGAGGCCTGTCGTAGTAAAGGAAAGAACTTCATTTAAAAACAAGACAGA
>NC_000001.11:122174031-122224535 GCF_000001405.40 Homo sapiens
CTGGTTTTCTTTCTCACCTGCCTGCTGCAATTTACTTTTCAGAGTCCTCCAATAACTGGTCTATGCGTATGTTCAGGTGTCACAGTTGTGTCCAGAGGGAGAGACCGGGTGGAATGCGCTTACTTCATCACTTCTGAAGTTGGAATCCTTCCCTTTATTTTTTTAAAGATAACTTCACTGGGCCAGGTGCAGTGGCTCACACCTGTAATCCCAGCACTTTGGGAGGCCAAGGTGGGTGGATCACAAAGAACTTCATCTAAAAACACCACCCTGGAACATTCTCAGAACTTCTTTGTGATGTTGACATTCAACTGACAGAGGTGAACCTTCCCTTGTGAGTTCAGGTTGAAACGCTCTTTTCGTAGCATCTGCAAGTGGAGATTTGGAACGCTTTGAGGCCTACGGTAGTAAAGGAAACAGCCTCATGTAAAAACTGGACAGAAGCATTCTCAGGAAATACTTTGGGATGATTGAGTTCAACTCACAGAGCTGAACATTCCTTTGGGTGGAGCAGTTTTGAAACACACTTTTTGCAGACTCTGCTGGAGGATATTTGGACCTCTCCTAGGATTTCGTTGGAAACGAGATAACGTCGCCTAACTAAACAGAAGCTTTCGCAGAAACATCCTTCTGACGTTGGCATTCAAAGTCCAGAGTTGAGCCTTCCTTTGGTAGTTCACGTTTGAAACACTCTTTTTGGAGGACCTGCAAGTGGATATTGGGAGCGCTTTGTGGCCTTCGTTCGAAACGGCCATATCTTCACATAAAATCTAGACAGAAGCCTTCTCAGAAACTTCTCTGTGATGATTGCATGCAACTCACAGAGTTGAACATTCCTTTTGATGGAGCAGTTTTGAAACTCTCTTTTGCTAGCATCTGCAAATGGATAGGTGGAACTCTGTGAAGACTTCTTTGGAAACGGGAATATCCTCACGTAAAAAGTAAACAGAAGCATTCTCTGAAACTCCTTTGTGAGGCTTGTGTTCAACTCCCAGAGTATAACATAGCTTTTCATGGAGCAGTTTTGAAACATTCTTTTCGTAGAGCCTCCAAGTGGACATTTGGAGCCCTTTCAGGCCTGTGGTGGATAAGGAAATATCTTCACATAAAAACTAGAGAGAAGCATTGTCAGAAACTTCTTGGTGATGATTGCATTCAACTCACGGAGCTGAGGATTCCTTTGGATGCAGCAGTTTGGAAACACTCTTTCGGTGGAATCTGCAAGCGGATATGTGGACCTCTTTGAACATTTCGATGGAAAAGGGATAATCTTCCCGTAAAAGCTAAACGGAAGCATGCTCAGGAACTTCTTTGTGATGTTTGCATTCAACTCGCAGAGTTGTACTTTCCTTTTGATAGAGCAGCTTTGAAACCCTCTCTTTCTAGCATCTGCAAGGGGACATTTGGAGGGCTTCGAGGCCTGGGGTGGAAAAGGAAATATCTTCTCATGAAAGCTACATGGAAGCATTCTCAGAAGCTGCTTTGTGATGATTGCATTCAAGTCACCGAGTTGAACATCCACTTTGATGGGGCCGTTTGGAAACACACTTTTGGTAGAATCTGAAAGGGGAGATTTGGACCGCTTTGAGGCCTATGGCAGTAGAGGATATAACTGCACATAAAATCGAGACAGGTAGCATTCCCAGGAAACACTTTGTGACGATTGAGTTCAACTCACGAAGCTGAACATTCCTTTGGATGGAGCAGTTTCCAAACACACTTTGTGTAGAATCTGCAAGTGGAGATTCGGACCGCTCTGAGGATTTCGTTGGATACGGGAGAGAACTCACCTACGTAAACAGAGCATTCTCAGAACCTTCTTCGTGATGCTTGCATTCAACTCACAGTGTTGAACCTTTCTCTGACAGTTCAGGTTTGAAACACTCCTTCTGCAGAATCTGCAAGTGGAGATTTGGACGTCTTTGAGGCCTGTCGTAGTAAAGGAAAGAACTTCATCTAAAAACAAGACAGAAGCATTCTCAGAAAATTCTTTGCAATGATTGAGTTTAACTCACAGAGCTGATTAGGTCTTTTGATGGAGCATTTTCAAAACACACGTTTTGTAGAATATGCAAGTGGATATTGGGACTTCTCTGAGAATTTCGTTGGAAACGGGATAAACCTCACATAACTGAAGAGGAACATTCTCAGAAGTTCTTCTTGATGTTGGCATTCAACTGGCAGAGTTGAACCTTCCCTTGTGAGTTCATGTTGAAACGCTCTTTTCGTAGTATCTGCAAGTGGAGGTTTGGAACGCTTTGAGGCCTACGGTAGTAAAGGAAACAGCTTCATGTAAAAACTGGACAGAAGCCTTCTCAGAAAATACTTTGGGATGATTGAGTTCAACTCACAGAGCTGAACATTCCTTTGGGTGGAGCAGTTTTGAAACACACTTTTTGTAGACTCTGCAGGTGGATATTTGGACCTCTCTGAGGATTTCGTTGGAAACGGTATAACGTCACATAACTAAACAGAAGCTTTCGCAGAAACATCCTTCTGACGTTGGCTTTCAAAGTCCCGAGTTGAGCCTTCCTTTGGTAGTTCACGTTTGAAACACTCTTTTTGGAGGACCTGCAAGTGGATATTTGGAGCACTTTGTGGCCTTCGTTCGAAACGACTATATCTTCACATAAAATCTAGACAGAAGCCTTCTCAGAAACTTCTCTGTGATGATTGCATGCAACTCACAGAGTTGAACATTCCTTTTGATAGAGCAGTTTTGAAACTCTCTTTTGCTAGCATCTGCAAATGGATAGGTGGAACTCTGTGGAGACTTCTTTGGAAACGGGAATATCCTCACGTAAAAAGTAAACAGAAGCATTCTCAGAAACTCCTTTGTGAGGCTTGTGTTCAACTCCCAGAGTATAACATTGCTTTTCATGGAGCAGTTTTGAAACATTCTTTTCGTAGAGCCTCCAAGTGGACATTTGGAGCGCTTTCAGGCCTGTGGTGGATAAGGAAATATCTTCACATAAAAACTAGAGAGAAGCATTCTCAGAAACTTCTTGGTGATGATTGCATTCAACTCACGGAGCTGAGGATTCCTTTTGATGCAGCAGTTTGGAAACACTCTTTCGGTGGAATCTGCAAGCGGATATGTAGACCTCTTTGAACATTCCGATGGAAAAGGGATAATCTTCCCGTAAAAGCTAAACGGAAGCATGCTCAGGAACTTCTTTGTGATGTTTGCATTCAACTCGCAGAGTTGTACTTTCCTTTTGATAGAGCAGCTTTGAAACCCTCTCTTTCTAGCATCTGCAAGGGGACATTTGGAGGGCTTCGAGGCCTGGGGTGGAAAAGGAAATATCTTCTCATGAAAGCTACATGGAAGCATTCTCAGAAGCTGCTTTGTGATGATTGCATTCAAGTCACCGAGTTGAACATCCCCTTTGATGGGGCCATTTGGAAACACACTTTTGGTAGAATCTGAAAGGGGAGATATCGACAGCTTTGAGGCCTATGGCAGTAGAGGATATAACTGCACATAAAAGCGAGACAGGAGCATTCCCAGGAAACGCTTTGTGACGATTGAGTTCAACTCACAGAGCTGAACATTCCTTTGGGTGGAGCAGTTTCCAAACACACTTTGTGTAGAATCTGCAAGTGGAGATTTGGACCGCTCTGAGGATTTCGCTGGATACGGGAGAAAAGTCACCTACGTAAACAGAAGCATTCTCAGAACCTTCTTCGTGATGTTTGCATTCAACTCACAGTGTTGAACCTTTCTCTGACAGTTCAGGTTTGAAACACTCCTTCTGCAGAATCTGCCAGTGGAGATTTGGACCTCTTTGAGGCCTGTGGTAGTAAAGGAAAGAACTTCATCTAAAAACAAGACGGAAGCATTCTCAGAAAATTCTTTGCGATGATTGAGTTTAACTCACAGAGCTGAGCAGGTCTTTTGATGGAGCATTTTCAAAACACACGTTTTGTAGAATATGCAAGTGGATATTGGGACTTCTCTGAGAATTTCGTTGGAAACGGGATAAACCTCACATAACTGAAGAGGAACATTCTCAGAAGTTCTTGGTGATGTTGGCATTCAACTGACAGAGTTGAACCTTCCCTTGTGAGTTCAGGTTGAAACGCTCTTTTCGTAGTATCTGCAAGTGGAGGTTTGGAACGCTTTGAGGCCTACGGTAGTAAAGGAAACAGCTTCATGTAAAAACTGGACAGAAGCATTCTCAGAAAATACTTTGGGATGATTGAGTTCAACTCACAGAGCTGAACATTCCTTTGGGTGGAGCAGTTCTGAAACACACTTTTTGTAGACTCTGCAGGTGGATACTTGGACCTCTCTGAGGATTTCGTTGGAAGTGGGATAACGTCACCTAACTAAACAGAAGCTTTCGCAGAAACTTCTTTCTGACGTTTGCATTCAAAGTCCAGAGCTGACCTTTGCTTTGATAGTTCACGGTTGAAACACTCTTGTTGGAGGACCTGCAAGTGGATATTTGGAGCACTTTGTGGCCTTCGTTGGAAACGGGTATATCTTCACATAAAATCTAGACAGAAGCCTTCTCAGAAACTTCTCTGTGATGATTGCATTCAACTCACAGAGTTGAACATTCCTTTTGATAGAGCAGTTTTGAAACTCTCTTTTTCTAGCATCTGCAAAGGGATAGGTGGAACTCTGTGAAGATTTCTTTGGAAACGGGAATATCTTCACGTAAAAAGTAAACAGAAACATTCTCAGAAACTCCTTTGTGAGGCTTGTGTTCAACTCCCAGAGTATAACATTGCTTTTCATAGAGCAGTTTTGAAACATTCTTTTCGTAGAGCCTCCAAGTGGACATTTGGAGCGCTTTCAGGCCTGCGGTGGAAAAGGAAATATCTTCACATAAAAACTAGAGAGAAGCATTGTCAGAAACTTCTTGGTGATGATTGCATTCAACTCACGGAGCTGAGGATTCCTTTTGATGCAGCAGTTTGGAAACACTCTTTCGGTGGAATCTGCAATCGGATATGTGGACCTCTTTGAACATTTCGATGGAAAAGGGATAATCTTCCCGTAAAAGCTAAACAGAAGCATGCTCAGGAACTTCCTTGTGATGTTTGCATTCAACTCACAGAGTTGTACTTTCCTTTTGATAGAGCAGCTTTGAAACCCCCTCTTTCTAGCATCTGCAAGGGGACATTTGGAGGGCTTCGAGGCCTGGGGTGGAAAAGGAAATATCTTCTCATCAAAGCTACATGGAAGCATTCTCAGAAGCTGCTTTGTGATGATTGCTTTCAAGTCACCGAGCTGAACATTCTCTTTGATGGAGCCGTTGGGAAACACACTTTTGGTAGAATCTGAAAGGGGAGATTTGGACCGCTTTGAGGCCTATGGCAGTAGAGGATATAACTGCACATAAAAACGAGACAGTAGCATTCCCAGGAAACACTTTGTGACGATTGAGTTCAACTCACAGAGCTGAACATTCCTTTGGATGGAGCAGTTTCCAAACACACTTTGTGTAGAATCTGCAAGTGGAGATTCGGACCGCTCTGAGGATTTCGTTGGATACGGGAGAGAACTCACCTACTGTAAACGGAAGCATTCTCAGAACCTTCTTCGTGATGCTTGCATTCAACTCACAGTGTTGAACCTTTCTCTGACAGTTCAGGTTTGAAACACTCCTTCTGCAGAATCTGCAAGTGGAGATTTGGACCTCCTTGAGGCCTATCATAGTAAAGGAAAGAACTTCATCTAAAAACAAGACGGAAGCATTCTCAGAAAATTCTTTGCGATGATTGAGTTTAACTCACAGAGCTGAGCAGGTCTTTTGATGGAGCATTTTCAAAACACACGTTTTGTAGAATATGCAAGTGGATATTGGGACTTCTCTGAGAATTTCGTTGGAAACGGGATAAACCTCACATAACTGAAGAGGAACATTCTCAGAACTTCTTTCTGATGTTGACATTCAACTGACAGAGGTGAACCTTCCCTTGTGAGTTCAGGTTGAAACGCTCCTTTCGTAGCATCTGCAAGTGGAGATTTGGAACGCTTTGAGGCCTACGGTAGTAAAGGAAACAGCTTCATGTAAAAACTGGACAGAAGCATTCTCAGAAAATACTTTGGGATGATTGAGTTCAACTCACAGAGCTGAACATTCCTTTGGGTGGAGCAGTTTTGAAACACACTGTTTGTAGACTCAGCAGGTGGATATTTGGACCTCTCTGAGGATTTCGTTGGAAACGGGATAACGTCACCTAACTAAACAGAAGCTTTCGCAGAAACATCCTTCTGACGTTGGCATTCAAAGTCCAGATTTGAGCCTTCCTTTGGTAGTTCACGTTTGAAACACTCTTTTTGGAGGACCTGCAAGTGGATATTTGGAGCACTTTGTGGCCTTCGTTCGAAACGGGTATATCTTCACATAAATTCTAGACAGAAGCCTTCTCAGAAACTTCTCTGTGATGATTGCATGCAACTCACAGAGTTGAACATTCCTTTTGATAGAGCAGTTTTGAAACTCTCTTTTGCTAGCATCTGCAAATGGATAGGTGGAACTCTGTGAAGACTTCTTTGGAAACGGGAATATCCTCACGTAAAAAGTAAACAGAAGCAATCTCAGAAACTCCTTTGTGAGGCTTGTGTTCAACTCCCAGAGTATAACATTGCTTTTCATGGAGCAGTTTTGAAACATTCTTTTCATAGAGCCTCCAAGTGGACATTTGGAGCCCTTTCAGGCCTGTGGTGGTTAAGGAAATATCTTCACATAAAAACTAGAGAGAAGCATTGTCAGAAACTTCTTGGTGATGATTGCATTCAACTCACGGAGCTGAGGATTCCTTTGGATGCAGCAGTTTGGAAACACTCTTTCGGTGGAATCTGCAAGCGGATATGTGGACCTCTTTGAACATTTCGATGGAAAAGGGATAATCTTCCCGTAAAAGCTAAACGGAAGCATGCTCAGGAACTTCCTTGTGATGTTTGCATTCAACTCACAGAGTTGTACTTTCCTTTTGATAGAGCAGCTTTGAAACCCCCTCTTTCTAGCATCTGCAAGGGGACATTTGGAGGGCTTTGAGGCCTGGGGTGGAAAAGGAAATATCTTCTCATCAAAGCTACATGGAAGCATTCTCAGAAGCTGCTTTGTGATGATTGCTTTCAAGTCACCGAGTTGAACATCCCCTTTGATGGGGCCGTTAGGAAACACACTTTTGGTAGAATCTGAAAGGGGAGATTTCGACCGCTTTGAGGCCTATGGCAGTAGAGGATATAACTGCACATAAAAGCGAGACAGGAGCATTCCCAGGAAACGCTTTGTGACGATTGAGTTCAACTCACAGAACTGAACATTCCTTTGGGTGGAGCAGTTTCCAAACACACTTTGTGTAGAATCTGCAAGTGGAGATTTGGACCGCTCTGAGGATTTCGCTGGATACGGGAGAAAAGTCACCTACGTAAACAGAAGCATTCTCAGAACCTTCTTCGTGATGCTTGCATTCAACTCACAGTGTTGAACCTTTCTCTGACAGTTCAGGTTTGAAACACTCCTTCTGCAGAATCTGCCAGTGGAGATTTGGACCTCTTTGAGGCCTGTCGTAGTAAAGGAAAGAACTTCATCTAAAAACAAGACGGAAGCATTCTCAGAAAATTCTTTGCGATGATTGAGTTTAACTCACAGAGCTGAGCATATCTTTTGATGGCGCATTTTACAAACACACCTTTTGTGGAATATGCAAGTGGATTTTGGGACTTCTCTGAGAATTTCGTGGGAAACGGGATAAACCTCACATAACTGAAGAGGAACATTCTCAGAACTTCTTGGTGATGTTGGCATTCAACTGACAGAATTGAACCTTCCCTTGTGAGTTCAGGTTGAAACGCTCTTTTCCTAGGATCTGCAAGTGGAGGTTTGGAACGCTTTGAGGCCTACGGTAGTAAAGGAAACAGCTTCATGTAAAAACTGGGCAGAAGCATTCTCAGAAAATACTTTGGGACGATTGAGTTCAACTCACAGAGCTGAACATTCCTTTGGGTGGAGCAGTTTGGAAACACACTTTTTGTAGACTCCGCAGGTGGATATTTGGACCTCTCTGAGGATTTCGTTGGAAACGGGATAACGTCACCTAACTAAACAGAAGCTTTCGCAGAAACATCCTTCTGACGTTGGCATTCAAAGTCCAGAGTTGAGCCTTCCTTTGGTAGTTCACGTTTGAAACACTCTTTTTGGAGGACCTGCAAGTGGATATTGGGAGCACTTTGTGGCCTTCGTTCGAAACGGCCATATCTTCACATAAAATCTAGACAGAAGCCTTCTCAGAAACTTCTCTGTGATGATTGCATGCAACTCACAGAGTTGAACATTCCTTTTGATGGAGCAGTTTTGAAACTCTCTTTTGCTAGCATCTGCAAATGGGTAGGTGGAACTCTTTGAAGACTTCTTTGGAAACGGGAATATCCTCACGTAAAAAGTAAACAGAAGCCTTCTCAGAAACTACTTTGTGAGGCTTGTGTTCAACTCCCAGAGTATAACATTGCTTTTCATAGAGCAGTTTTGAAACATTCTTTTCGTAGAGCCTCCAAGTGGACATTTGGAACGCTTTCAGGCCAGTGGTGGAAAAGGAAATATCTTCACATAAAAACTAGAGAGAAGCATTGTCAGAAACTTCTTGGTGATGATTGCATTCAACTCACGGAGCTGAGGATTCCTTTTGATGCAGCAATTTGGAAACACTCTTTCGGTGGAATCTGCAAGCGGATATGTGGACCTCTTTGAACATTCCGATGGAAAAGGGATAATCTTCCCGTAAAAGCTAAACGGAAGCATGCTCAGGAACTTCTTTGTGATGTTTGCATTCAACTCACAGAGTTGTACTTTCCTTTTGAGAGAGTAGCTTTGAAACCCCCTCTTTCTAGCATCTGCAAGGGGACATTTGGAGGGCTTCGAGGCTTGGGGTGGAAAAGGAAATATCTTCTCATCAAAGCTACATGGAAACATTCTCAGAAGCTGCTTTGAGATGATTGCATTCAAGTCACCGTGTTGAACATTCCCTTTGATGGAGCCGTTTGGAAACACACTTTTGGTAGAATCTGAAAGGGGAGATTTGGACCGCTTTGAGGCCTATGGCAGTAGAGGATATAACTGCACATAAAAACGAGACAGGAGCATTCCCAGGAAACGCTTTGTGACCATTGAGTTCAACTCACAGAGCTGGACATTCCTTTGGGTGGAGCAGTTTCCAAACACACTTTGTGTAGAATCTTCAAGTGGAGATTTGGACCGCTCTGAGGATTTCGTTGGATACGGGAGAAAAGTCACCTACGTAAACAGAAGCATTCTCAGAACCTTCTTCGTGATGCGTGCATTCAACTCACAGTGTTGAACCTTTCTCTGACAGTTCAGGTTTGAAACACTCCTTCTGCAGAATCTGCAAGTGGACATTTGGACCTCCTTGAGGCCTATCGTAGTAAAGGAAAGAACTTCATCTAAAAACAAGACGGAAGCATTCTCAGAAAATTCTTTGCGATGATTGAGTTTAACTCACAGAGCTGAGCATATCTTTTGATGGCGCAATTTCCAAACACACCTTTTGTGGAATATGCCAGTGGATTTTGGGACTTCTCTGAGAATTTCGTTGGAAACGGGATAAACCTCACATAACTGAAGAGGAAACATTCTCAGAACTTCTTTGTGATGTTGGCATTCAACTGATAGAGTTGAACCTTCCCTTGTGAGTTCAGGTTTAATCGCTCTTTTCGTAGTATCTGCAAGTGGAGATTTGGAACGCTTTGAGGCCTACGGTAGTAAAGGAAACAGCTTCATGTAAAAACTGGACAGAAGAATTCTCAGAAAATACTTTGGGATGATTGAGTTTAACTCACAGAGCTGAACATTCCTTTTGGTGGAGCAGTTTTGAAACACACTTTTTGTAGACTCTGCAGGTGGATATTTGGACCTCTCTGAGGATTTCGTTGGAAACGGGATAACGTCACCTAACTAAACAGAAGCTTTCGCAGAAAAATCTTTCTGACGTTTGCATTCAAAGTCCAGAGTGGAGCCTTCCTTTGGTAGTTCACGTTTGAAACACTCTTTTTGGAGGACCTGCAAGTGGATATTTGGAGCACTTTGTGGCCTTCGTTCGAAACGGCTATATCTTCACATAAAATCTAGACAGAAGCCTTCTCAGAAACTTCTCTGTGATGATTGCATGCAACTCACAGAGTTGAACATTCCTTTTGATAGAGCAGTTTTGAAACTCTCTTTTTCTAGCATCTGCAAATGGATAGGTAGAACTCTGTGAAGATTTCTTTGGAAACGGGAATATCCTCACGTAAAAAGTAAACAGAAGCATTCTCAGAAGCTGCTTTGTGATGATTGCTTTCAAGTCACCGAGCTGAACATTCCCTTTGATGGAGCCTTTTGGAAACACACTTTTGGTAGAATCTGAAAGGGGAGATTTGGACCGCTTTGAGGCCTGTGGCAGTAGAGGATAAAACTGCACATAAAAACGAGACAGTAGCATTCCCAGGAAACACTTTGTGACGATTGAGTTCAACTCACGGAGCTGAACATTCCTTTGGATGGAGCAGTTTCCAAACACACTTTGTGTAGAATCTGCAAGTGGAGATTCGGACCGCTCTGAGGATTTCGTTGGATACGGGAGAGAACTCACCTACGTAAACAGAAGCATTCTCAGAACCTTCTTCGTGATGCTTGCATTCAACTCACAGTGTTGAACCTTCCTCTGACGGTTCAGGTTTGAAACACTCCTTCTGCAGAATCTGCAAGTGGAGATTTGGACCTCTTTGAGGCCTGTCGTAGTAAAGGAAAGAACTTCATCTAAAAACAAGACAGAAGCATTCTCAGAAAATTCTTTGCGATGACTGAGTTTAACTCACAGAGCTGAGCATATCTTTTGATGGCGCATTTTCAAGACACACCTTTTGTAGAATATGCAAGTGGATTTTGGGACTTCTCTGAGAATTTCGTTGGAATCGGGATAAACCTCACATAACTGAAGAGGAACATTCTCAGAAACTTCTTTGTGATGTTGGCATTCAACTGATAGAGTTGAACCTTCCCTTGTGAGTTCAGGTTGAATCGCTCTTTTCGTAGTATCTGCAAGTGGAGATTTGGAACGCTTTGAGGCCTACGGTAGTAAAGGAAACAGCTTCATGTAAAAACTGGACAGAAGCATTCTCAGAAAATACTTTGGGATGATTGAGTTTAACTCACAGAGCTGAACATTCCTTTTGGTGGAGCAGTTTTGAAACACACTTTTTGTAGACTCTGCAGGTGGATATTTGGACCTCTCTGAGGATTTCGTTGGAAACGGGATAACGTCACCTAACTAAACAGAAGCTTTCGCAGAAACATCCTTCTGACGTTGGCATTCAAAGTCCAGAGTTGAGCCTTCCTTTGGTAGTTCACGTTTGAAACACTCTTTTTGGAGGACCTGCAAGTGGATATTTGGAGCACTTTGTGGCCTTAGTTCGAAACGGCTATATCTTCACGTAAAATCTAGACAGAAGCCTTCTCAGAAACTTCTCTGTGACGATTGCACGCAACTCACAGAGTTGAACATTCCTTTTGATAGAGCAGTTTTGAAACTCTCTAGTTTTCCTGGCATCTGCAAATGGATAGGTGGAAATCTGTGAAGACTTCTTTGGAAACGGGAATATCCTCACGTAAAAAGTAAACAGAAGCATTCTCAGAAACTCCTTTGTGAGGCTTGTGTTCAACTCCCAGAGTATAACATTGCTTTTCATAGAGCAGTTTTGAAACATTCTTTTCGTAGAGCGTCCAGGTGGACATTTGGAACGCTTTCAGGCCTGTGTTGGAAAAGGAAATATCTTCACATAAAAACTAGAGAGAAGCATTGTCAGAAACTTCTTGGTGATGATTGCATTCAACTCACGGAGCTGAGGATTCCTTTGGATGCAGCAGTTTGGAAACACTCTTTCGGTGGAATCTGCAAGCGGATATGTGGACCTCTTTGAACATTTCGATGGAAAAGGGATAATCTTCCCGTAAAAGCTAAACGGAAGCATGCTCAGGAACTTCCTTGTGATGTTTGCATTCAACTCACAGAGTTGTACTTTCCTTTTGATAGAGCAGCTTTGAAACCCCCTCTTTCTAGCATCTGCAAGGGGACATTTGGAGGGCTTCGAGGCCTGGGGTGGAAAAGGAAATATCTTCTCATCAAAGCTACATGGAAGCATTCTCAGAAGCTGCTTTGTGATGATTGCATTCAAGTCACCGAGTTGAACATCCCCTTTGATGGGGCCGTTTGGAAACACACTTTTGGGAGAATCTGAAAGGGGAGATTTGGACCGCTTTGAGGCCTATGGCAGTAGAGGATATAACTGCACATAAAAGCGAGACAGGAGCATTCCCAGGAAACGCTTTGTGACCATTGAGTTCAACTCACAGAGCCGAACATTCCTTTGGGTGGAGCAGTTTCCAAACACACTTTGTGTAGAATCTGCAAGTGGAGATTTGGACCGCTCTGAGGATTTCGTTGGATAGGGAGAAAAGTCACCTACGAAAACAGAAGCATTCTCAGAACCTTCTTCGTGATGCTTGCATTCAACTCACAGTGTTGAACTTTTCTCTGACAGTTCAGGTTTGAAACACTCCTTCTGCAGAATCTGCAAGTGGAGATTTGGACCTCTTTGAGGCCTATTGTAGTAAAGGTAAGAACTTCATCTAAAAACAAGACGGAAGCATTCTCAGAAAATTCTTTGTGATGATTGAGTTGAACTCACAGAGCTGAGCATATCTTTTGATGGCGCATTTTCAAAACACACCTTTTGTGGAATATGCAAGTGGTTTTTGGGACTTCTCTGAGAATTTCGTTGGAAACGGGATAAAACTCACATAACTGAAGAGGAACATTCTCAGAACTTCTTTGTGATGTTGACATTCAACTGACAGAGGTGAACCTTCCCTTGTGAGTTCAGGTTGAAACGCTCTTTTCGTAGCATCTGCAAGTGGAGATTTGGAACGCTTTGAGGCCTACGGTAGTAAAGGAAACAGCTTCATGTAAAAACTGGACAGAAGCATTCTCAGAAAATACTTTGGGATGATTGAGTTCAACTCACAGAGCTGAACATTCCTTTGGGTGGAGCAGTTTTGAAACACACTTTTTGTAGACTCTGCAGGTGGATATTTGGAACTCTCTGAGGATTTCGTTGGAAACGGGATAACGTCACCTAACTAAACAGAAGCTTTCGCAGAAACATCTTTCTGACGTTGGCATTCAAAGTCCACAGTTGAGCCTTCCTTTGGTAGTTCACGTTTGAAACACTCTTTTTGGAGGACCTGCAAGTGGATATTGGAGCACATTGTGGTCTTCGTTCGAAACAGCTATATCTTCACATAAAATCTAGACAGAAGCCTTCTCAGAAACTTCTCTGTGATGATTGCATGCAACTCACAGAGTTGAACATTCCTTTTGATAGAGCAGTTTTGAAACTGTCTTTTGCTAGCATCTGCAAATGGATAGGTGGAACTCTGTGAAGACTTCTTTGGAAACGGGAATATCCACACGTAAAAAGTAAACAGAAGCATTCTCAGAAACTCCTTTGTGAGGCTTGTGTTCAACTCCCAGAGTATAACATTGCTTTTCATAGAGCAGTTTTGAAACATTCTTTTCGTAGAGCCTCCAAGTGGACATTTGGAGCGCTTTCAGGCCTGCGGTGGAAAAGGAAATATCTTCACATAAAAACTAGAGAGAAGCATTGTCAGAAACTTCTTGGTGATGATTGCATTCAACTCACGGAGCTGAGGATTCCTTTGGATGCAGCAGTTTGGAAACACTCTTTCGGTGGAATCTGCAAGCGGATATGTGGACCTCTTTGAACATTGCGATGGAAAAGGGATAATCTTCCCGTAAAAGCTAAACGGAAGCATGCTCAGGAACTTCCTTGTGATGTTTGCATTCAACTCACAGAGTTGTACTTTCCTTCTGATAGAGCAGCTTTGAAACCCCCTCTTTCTAGCATCTGCAAGGGGACATTTGGAGGGCTTCGAGGCCGGGGGTGGAAAAGGAAATATCTTCTCATCAGAGCTACATGGAAGCATTCTCAGAAGCTGCTTCGGGATGATTGCATTCAAGTCACCGAATTGAATATCCCCTTTGATGGGGCCGTGTGGAAACACACTTTTGGTAGAATCTGAAAGGGGAGATTTGGACCGCTTTGAGGCCTATGGCAGTAGAGGATATTACTGCACATAAAAGCGAGACAGGAGCATTCCCAGGAAACGCTTTGTGACGATTGAGTTCAACTCACAGAGCTGAACATTCCTTTGGGTGGAGCAGTTTCCAAACACACTTTGTGTAGAATCTTCAAGTGGAGATTTGGACCGCTCTGAGGATTTCATTGGATACGGGAGAAAAGTCACCTACGTAAACAGAAGCATTCTCAGAACCTTCTTCGTGATGCTTGCATTCAACTCACAGTGTTGAACCTTCCTCTGACGGTTCAGGTTTGAAACACTCCTTCTGCAGAATCTGCAAGTGGAGATTTGGACCTCTTTGAGGCCTGTCGTAGTAAAGGAAAGAACTTCATTTAAAAACAAGACAGAAGCATTCTCAGAAAATTCTTTGCGATGATTGAGTTTAACTCACAGAGCTGAGCATATCTTTTGATGGCGCATTTTCAAGACACACCTTTTGTAGAATATGCAAGTGGATTTTGGGACTTCTCTGAGAATTTCGTTGGAAACGGGATAAACCTCACATAACTGAAGAGGAACATTCTCAGAAGTTCTTGGTGACGTTGGCATTCAACTGACAGAGTTGAACCTTCCCTTGTGAGTTCAGGTTGAAACGCTCTTTTCGTAGTATCTGCAAGTGGAGGTTTGGAACGCTTTGAGGCCTACGGTAGTAAAGGAAACAGCTTCATGTAAAAACTGGACAGAAGCCTTCTCAGAAAATACTTTGGGATGATTGAGTTCAACTCACAGAGCTGAACATTCCTTTGGGTGGAGCAGTTTTGAAACACACTTTTTGTAGACTCTGCAGGTGGATATTTGGACCTCTCTGAGGATTTCGTTGGAAACGGGATAACGTCACCTAACTAAACAGAGGCTTTCGCGGAAACATCTTTCTGACGTTGGCATTCAAAGTCCACAGTTGAGCCTTCCTTTGGTAGTTCACGTTTGAAACACTCTTTTTGGAGGACCTGCAAGTGGATATTGGAGCACTTTGTGGCCTTCGTTCGAAACGGCTATATCTTCACATAAAATACTAGACAGAATCCTTCTCAGAAACTTCTCTGTGATGATTGCATGCAACTCACAGAGTTGAACATTCCTTTTGATGGAGCAGTTTTGAAACTCTCTTTTGCTAGCATCTGCAAATGTATAGGTGGAACTCTGTGAAGACTTCTTTGGAAACGGGAATATCCTCACGTAAAAAGTAAACAGAAGCATTCTCAGAAACTCCTTTGTGAGGCTTGTGTTCAACTCCCAGAGTATAACATTGCTTTTCATGGAGCAGTTTTGAAACATTCTTTTCGTAGAGCCTCCAAGTGGACATTTGGAGCGCTTTCAGGCCTGTGGTGGATAAGGAAATATCTTCACATAAAAACTAGAGAGAAGCATTCTCAGAATCCTCTTGGTGATGATTGCATTCAACTCACGGAGCTGAGGATTCCTTTTGATGCAGCAGTTTGGAAACACTCTTTCGGTGGAATCTGCAAGCGGATATGTGGACCTCCTTTGAACATTCTGATGGAAAAGGGATAATCTTCCCGTAAAAGCTAAACAGAAGCATGCTCAGGAACTTCCTTGTGATGTTTGCATTCAACTCACAGAGTTGTACTTTCCTTCTGATAGAGCAGCTTTGAAACCCCCTCTTTCTAGCATCTGCAAGGGGACATTTGGAGGGCTTCGAGGCCTGGGGTGGAAAAGGAAATATCTTCTCATCAAAGCTACATGGAAGCATTCTCAGAAGCTGCTTTGTGATGATTGCTTTCAAGTCACCGAGTTGCACATTCCCTTTGATGGAGCCGTTTGGAAACACACTTCTGGTAGAATCTGAAAGGGGATATTTGGAACGCTTTGAGGCCTATGGCAGCAGAGGATAAACTGCACATAAAAGCGAGACAGGAGCATTCCCAGGAAACACTTTGTGACGATTGAGTTCAACTCACAGAGCTGAATATTCCTTTGGTTGGAGCAGTTTCCAAACACACTTTGTGTAGAATCTGCAAGTGGAGATTTGGACCGCTCTGAGGATTTCGCTGGATACGGGAGAAAACTCACCTACGTAAACAGAAGCATTCTCAGAACCTTCTTCGTGATGCTTGCATTCAACTCACAGTGTTGAACCTTTCTCTGATAGTTCAGGTTTTAAACACTCCTTCTGCAGAATCTACAAGTGGAGATTTGGACCTCTTTGAGGCCTATCGTAGTAAAGGAAAGAACTTCATCTAAAAACAAGACAGAAGCATTCTCAGAACCTTCTTCGTGATGCTTGCATTCAACTCACAGTGTTCAACCTTTCTCTGATAGTTCAGGTTTTAAACACTCCTTCTGCAGAATCTGCAAGTGGAGATTTGGACCTCTTTGAGGCCTATCGTAGTAAAGGATATAACCTCATCTAAAAACAAGACAGAAGCATTCTCAGAAAATTCTTTGCGATGCTTGAGTTTAACTCACAGAGCTGAGCATATCTTTTGATGGCGCATTTTCCAAACACACCTTTTGTGGAATATGCAAGTGGATTTTGGGACTTCTCTGAGAATTTCGTGGGAAACGGGATAAAACTCCCATAACTGAAGAGGAACATTCTCAGAACTTCTTTGTGATGTTGACATTCAACTGACAGAGGTGAACCTTCCCTTGTGAGTTCAGGTTGAAACGCTCTTTTCGTAGCATCTGCAAGTGGAGATTTGGAACGCTTTGAGGCCTACGGTAGTAAAGGAAACAGCTTCACGTAAAAACTGGACAGAAGCATTCTCAGAAAATACTTTGTGATGATTGAGTTTAACTCACACAGCTGAACATTCCTTTGGGTGGAGCAGTTTGGAAACACACTTTTTGTGGACCCTGCAGGTGGACATTTGGACCTCTCTGAGGATTTCTTTGGAAACGGGATAACGTCACCTAACTAAACAGAAGCTTTCGCAGAAACATCCTTCTGACGTTGGCGTTCAAAGTCCAGAGTTGAGCCTTCCTTTGGTAGTTCACGTTTGAAACACTCTTTTTGGAGGACCTGCAAGTGGATATTTGGAGCACTTTGTGGCCTTCGTTCGAAACGGCTATATCTTCACGTAAAATCTAGACAGAAGCCTTCTCAGAAACTTCTCTGTGATGATTGCATGCAACTCACAGAGTTGAACATTCCTTTTGATGGAGCAGTTTTGAAACTCTCTTTTGCTAGCATCTGCAAATGGATAAGTGGAACTCTGTGAAGACTTCTTTGGAAACGGGAATATCCTAACGTAAAAAGTAAACAGAAGCATTCTCAGAAACTCCTTTGTGAGGCTTGTGTTCAACTCCCAGAGTATAACATTGCTTTTCATAGAGCAGTTTTGAAACATTCTTTTCGTAGAGCCTCCAAGTGGACATTTGGAGCGCTTTCAGGCCTGCGGTGGAAAAGGAAATATCTTCACATAAAAACTAGAGAGAAGCATTGTCAGAAACTTCTTGGTGATGATTGCATTCAACTCACGGAGCTGAGGATTCCTTTTGATGCAGCAGTTTGGAAACACTCTTTCGGTGGAATCTGCAAGCGGATATGTGGACCTCTTTGAACATTTCTATGGAAAAGGGATAATCTTCCCGTAAAAGCTAAACGGAAGCATGCTCAGGAACTTCTTTGTGATGTTTGCATTCAACTCGCAGTGTTGTACTTTCCTTTTGATAGAGCAGCTTTGAAACCCTCCCTTTCTAGCATCTGCAAGGGGACATTTGGAGGGCTTCGAGGCCTGGGGTGGAAAAGGAAATATCTTCTCATCAAAGATACATGGAAGTATTCTCAGAAACTGGTTTGTGATGATTGCATTCAAGTCACCGAGTTGAACATTCCCTTTGATGGAGCCGTTTGGAAACACACTTTTGGTAGAATCTGAAAGGGGAGATTTGGACCGCTTTGAGGCCTATGGCAGTAGAGGATATAACTGCACATAAAAAGGAGACAGGAGCATTCCCAGGAAACACTTTGTGACGATTGAGTTCAATTCACAGAGCTGAACATTCCTTTGGATGGAGCAGTTTCAAAACACACTTTTTGTAGAATCTGCAAGTGGAGATTTGGACCGCTCTGAGGATTTCATTGGATACGGGAGAAAACTCACCTACGTAAACAGAAGCATTCTCAGAACCTTCTTCATGATGCTTGCATTCAACTCACAGTGTTGAACCTTTCTCTGATAGTTCAGGTTTGAAACACTCCTTCTGCAGAATCTGCAAGTGGAGATTTGGACCTCTTTGAGGCCTATCGTAGTAAAGGAAAGAACTTCATCTAAAAACAAGACAGAAGCATTCTCAGTAAAATACTTTGCGATGATTGAGTTTAAGTCACAGAGCTGAGCATATCTTTTGATGGCGCATTTTCAAAACACACCTTTTGTGGAATATGCAAGTGGATTTTGGGACTTCTCTGAGAATTTCTTTGGAAACGGGATAAACCTCACGTAACTGAAGAGGAACATTCTCAGAAGTTCTTGGTGACGTTGGCATTCAACTGACAGAGTTGAACCTTCCCTTGTGAGTTCAGGTTGAAACGCTCTTTTCGTAGTATCTGCAAGTGGAGGTTTGGAACGCTTTGAGGCCTACGGTAGTAAAGGAAACAGCTTCATGTAAAAACTGGACAGAAGCCTTCTCAGAAAATACTTTGGGATGATTGAGTTCAACTCACAGAGCTGAACATTCCTTTGGGTGGAGCAGTTTTGAAACACACTTTTTGTAGACTCTGCAGGTGGATATTTGGACCTCTCTGAGGATTTCGTTGGAAACGGGATAACGTCACCTAACTAAACAGAAGCTTTCGCAGAAACATCTTTCTGACGTTGGCATTCAAAGTCCAGAGTTGAGCCTTCCTTTGGTAGTTCACGTTTGAAACACTCTTTTTGGAGGACCTGCAAGTGGATATTTGGAGCACTTTGTGGCCTTCGTTCGAAACGGCTATATCTTCACATAAAATCTAGACAGAAGCCTTCTCAGAAACTTCTCTGTGATGATTGCATGCAACTCACAGAGTTGAACATTCCTTTTGATGGAGCAGTTTTGAAACTCTCTTTTGCTAGCATCTGCAAATGGATAGGTGGAACTCTGTGAAGACTTCTTTGGAAACGGGAATATCCTCACGTAAAAAGTAAACAGAAGCAATCTCAGAAACTCCTTTGTGAGGCTTGTGTTCAACTCCCAGAGTATAACATTGCTTTTCATGGAGCAGTTTTGAAACATTCTTTTCATAGAGCCTCCAAGTGGACATTTGGAGCCCTTTCAGGCCTGTGGTGGTTAAGGAAATATCTTCACATAAAAACTAGAGAGAAGCATTCTCAGAATCTTCTTGGTGATGATTGCATTCAACTCACGGAGCTGAGGATTCCTTTTGATGCAGCAGTATGGAAACACTCTTTCGGTGGAAGCTGCAAGCGGATATGTGGACCTCTTTGAACATTCCGATGGAAAAGGGATAATCTTCCCGTAAAAGCTAAACGGAAGCATGCTCAGGAACTTCCTTGTGATGTTTGCATTCAACTCACAGAGTTGTACTTTCCTTTTGATAGAG
This sequence comes from Homo sapiens, assembly GCF_000001405.40. Lineage (NCBI taxonomy): Eukaryota > Metazoa > Chordata > Mammalia > Primates > Hominidae > Homo > Homo sapiens. Next base: position 122,193,715 of record NC_000001.11, read on the forward strand.
CAGCTTTGAAACCCCCTCTTTCTAGCATCTGCAAGGGGACATTTGGAGGGCTTCGAGGCCTGGGGTGGAAAAGGAAATATCTTCTCATCAAAGCTACATGGAAGCATTCTCAGAAGCTGCTTTGTGATGATTGCATTCAAGTCACCGAGTTGAACATCCCCTTTGATGGGGCCGTTTGGAAACACACTTTTGGTAGAATCTGAAAGGGGAGATTTGGACCGCTTTGAGGCCTATGGCAGTAGAGGATATAACTGCACATAAAAGCGAGACAGGAGCATTCCCAGGAAACGCTTTGTGACCATTGAGTTCAACTCACAGAGCTGAACATTCCTTTGGGTGGAGCAGTTTGCAAACACACTTTGTGTAGAATCTGCAAGTGGAGATTTGGACCGCTCTGAGGATTTCGTTGGATACGGGAGAAAAGTCCCCTACATAAACAGAAGCATTCTCAGATCCTTCTTCGTGATGCTTGCATTCAACTCACAGTGTTGAACCTTTCTCTGACAGTTCAGGTTTGAAACACTCCTTCTGCAGAATCTGCAAGTGGAGATTTGGAACTCTTTGAGGCCTATCGTAGTAAAGGAAAGAACTTCATCTAAAAACAAGACGGAAGCATTCTCAGAAAATTCTTTGCGATGATTGAGTTTAACTCACAGAGCTGAGCATATCTTTTGATGGCGCATTTTCCAAACACACCTTTTGTGGAATATGCAAGTGGATTTTGGGACTTCTCTGAGAATTTCGTTGGAAACGGGATAAACCTCACGTAACTGAAGAGGAACATTCTCAGAAGTTCTTGGTGATGTTGGCATTCAACTGACAGAGTTGAACCTTCCCTTGTGAGTTCAGGTTGAAACGCTCTTTTCGTAGTATCTGCAAGTGGAGGTTTGGAACGCTTTGAGGCCTACGGTAGTAAAGGAAACAGCTTCATGTAAACACTGGACAGAAGCATTCTCAGAAAATACTTTGGGACGATTGAGTTCAACTCACAGAGCTGAACATTCCTTTGGGTGGAGCAGTTTGGAAACACACTTTTTGTAGACTCCGCAGGTGGATATTTGGACCTCTCTGAGGATTTCGTTGGAAACGGGATAACGTCACCTAACTAAACAGAAGCTTTCGCAGAAACATCCTTCTGACGTTGGCCTTCAAAGTCCAGAGTTGAGCCTTCCTTTGGTAGCTCACGTTTGAAACACTCTTTTTGGAGGACCTGCAAGTGGATATTTGGAGCACTTTGTGGCCTTCGTTCGAAACGGCTATATCTTCACGTAAAATCTAGACAGAAGCCTTCTCAGAAACTTCTCTGTGATGATTGCATGCAACTCACAGAGTTGAACATTCCTTTTGATGGAGCAGTTTTGAAACTCTCTTTTGCTAGCATCTGCAAATGGATAGGTGGAACTCTGTGAAGACTTCTTTGGAAACGGGAATATCCTCACGTAAAAAGTAAACAGAAGCATTCTCAGAAACTCCTTTGTGAGGCTTGTGTTCAACTCCCAGAGTATAACATTGCTTTTCATGGAGCAGTTTTGAAACATTCTTTTCGTAGAGCCTCCAAGTGGACATTTGGAGCCCTTTCAGGCCTGTGGTGGATAAGGAAATATCTTCACATAAAAACTAGAGAGAAGCATTGTCAGAAACTTCTTGGTGATGATTGCATTCAACTCACGGAGCTGAGGATTCCTTTTGATGCAGCAGTTTGGAAACACTCTTTCGGTGGAATCTGCAAGCGGATATGTGGACCTCTTTGAACATTTCTATGGAAAAGGGATAATCTTCCCGTAAAAGCTAAACGGAAGCATGCTCAGGAACTTCCTTGTGATGTTTGCATTCAACTCACAGAGTTGTACTTTCCTTTTGATAGAGCAGCTTTGAAACCCCCTCTTTCTAACATCTGCAAGGGGACATTTGGAGGGCTTCGAGGCCTGGGGTGGAAAAGGAAATATCTTCTCATCAAACCTACATGGAAGCATTCTCAGAAGCTGCTTTGTGATGATTGCATTCAAGTCACCGGGTTGAACATCCCCTTTGATGGGGCCGTTTGGAAACACACTTTTGGTAGAATCTGGAAGGGGAGATTTGGACCGCTTTGAGGCCTATGGCAGTAGAGGATATGACTGCACATAAAAGCGAGACAGGAGCATTCCCAGGAAACACTTTGTGACGATTCAGTGCAACTCACACAGCTGAACATTCCTTTGGAAGGAGCAGTTTCCAAACACACTTTGTGTAGAATCTGCAAGTGGAGATTTGGACCGCTCTGAGGATTTCGTTGGATACGGGAGAAAACTCACCTACGTAAACAGAAGCATTCTCAGAACCTTCTTCGTGATGCTTGCATTCAACTCACAGTGTTGAACCTTTCTCTGACAGTTCAGGTTTGAAACACTCCTTCTGCAGAATCTGCAAGTGGAGATTTGGACCTCTTTGAGGACTATCGTAGTAAAGGAAAGAACTTCATCTAAAAACAAGACAGAAGCATTCTCAGAAAATTCTTTGTGATGATTGAGTTTAACTCACAGAGCTGAGCCTATCTTTTGATGGCGCATTTTCAAACACGCCTTTTGTAGAATATGAAAGAGGATTTTGGGACTTCTCTGAGAATTTCGTTGGAAACGGGATAAACCTCACATAACTGAAGAGGAACATTCTCAGAACTTCTTTGTGATGTTGACATTCAACTGACAGAGGTGAACCTTCCCTTGTGAGTTCAGGTTGAAACGCTCTTTTCGTAGCATCTGCAAGTGGAGATTTGGAACGCTTTGAGGCCTACGGTAGTAAAGGAAACAGCCTCATGTAAAAACTGGACAGAAGCATTCTCAGGAAATACTTTGGGATGATTGAGTTCAACTCACAGAGCTGAATATTCCTTTGGGTGGAGCAGTTTTGAAACACACTTTTTGCAGACTCTGCTGGTGGATATTTGGACCTCTCCTAGGATTTCGTTGGAAACGAGATAACGTCGCCTAACTAAACAGAAGCTTTCGCAGAAACATCCTTCTGACGTTGGCATTCAAAGTCCAGAGTTGAGCCTTCCTTTGGTAGTTCACGTTTGAAACACTCTTTTTGGAGGACCTGCAAGTGGATATTTGGAGCACTTTGTGGCCTTCGTTCGAAACGGCTATATCTTCACATAAAATCTAGACAGAAGCCTTCTCAGAAACTTCTCTGTGATGATTGCATGCAACTCACAGAGTTGAACATTCCTTTTGATAGAGCAGTTTTGAAACTCTCTTTTGCTAGCATCTGCAAATGGATAGGTGGAACTCTGTGAAGACTTCTTTGGAAACGGGAATATCCTCACGTAAAAAGTAAACAGAAGCATTCTCAGAAACTCCTTTGTGAGGCTTGTGTTCAACTCCCAGAGTATAACATTGCTTTTCATAGAGCAGTTTTGAAACATTCTTTTCGTAGAGCCTCCAAGTGGACATTTGGAGCGCTTTCAGGCCTGTGGTGGAACAGGAAATATCTTCACATAAAAACTAGAGAGAAGCATTGTCAGAAACTTCTTGGTGATGATTGCATTCAACTCACGGAGCTGAGGATTCCTTTTGATGCAGCAGTTTGGAAACACTCTTTCGGTGGAATCTGCAAGCCGATATGTGGACCTCTTTGAACATTTCGATGGAAAAGGGATAATCTTCCCGTAAAAGCTAAACGGAAGCATGCTCAGGAACTTCCTTGTGATGTTTGCATTCAACTCAGAGAGTTGTACTTTCCTTTTGATAGAGCAGCTTTGAAACCCCCTCTTTCTAGCATCTGCAAGGGGACATTTGGAGGGCTTCGAGGCCTGGGGTGGAAAAGGAAATATCTTCTCATCAAAGCTACATGGAAGCATTCTCAGAAGCTGCTTTGTGATGATTGCATTCAAGTCACCGAGTTGAACATCCCCTTTGATGGGGCCGTTTGGAAACACATTTCTGGTAGAATCTGAACGGGGAGATTTGGACCGCTTTGAGGCCTATGGCAGTAGAGGATATAACTGCACATAAAAGCGAGACTGGAGCATTCCCAGGAAACGCTTTGTGACCATTGAGTTCAACTCACAGAGCCGAACATTCCTTTGGGTGGAGCAGTTTCCAAACACACTTTGTGTAGAATCTGCAAGTGGAGATTTGGACCGCTCTGAGGATTTCGCTGGATACGGGAGAAAAGTCACCTACGTAAACAGAAGCATTCTCAGAACCTTCTTCGTGATGCTTGCATTCAACTCACAGTGTTGAACCTTTCTCTGACAGTTCAGGTTTGAAACACTCCTTCTGCAGAATCTGCAAGTGGAGATTTGGACCTCTTTGAGGCCTATCGTAGTAAAGGAAAGAACTTCATCTAAAAACAAGACGGAAGCATTCTCAGAAAATACTTTGCGATGATTGAGTTTAACTCACAGAGCTGAGCATATCTTTTGATGGCGCATTTTCAAAACACACCTTTTGTGGAATATGCAAGTGGATTTTGGGACTTCTCCGAGAATTTCGTTGGAAACGGGATAAACCTCACGTAACTGAAGAGGAACATTCTCAGAACTTCTTGGTGATGTTGGCATTCAACTGACAGAGTTGAACCTTCCCTTGTGAGTTCAGGTTGAAACGCTCTTTTCGTAGTATCTGCAAGTGGAGGTTTGGAACGCTTTGAGGCCTACGGTAGTAAAGGAAACAGCTTCATGTAAAAACTGGACAGAAGCATTGTCAGAAAATACTTTGGGATGATTCAGTTCAACTCACAGAGCTGAACATTCCTTTGGGTGGAGCAGTTTTGAAACACACTTTTTGTAGACTCTGCAGGTGGATATTTGGACCTCTCTGAGGATTTCGTTGGAGACGGGATAACGTCACCTAACTAAACAGAAGCTTTCGCAGAAACATCTTTCTGACGTTGGCATTCAAAGTCCAGAGTTGAGCCTTCCTTTGGTAGTTCACGTTTGAAACACTCTTTTTGGAGGACCTGCAAGTGGATATTTGGAGCACTTTGTGGCCTTCGTTCGAAACGGCTATATCTTCACATAAAATCTAGACAGAAGCCTTCTCAGAAACTTTTCTGTGATGATTGCATGCAACTCACAGAGTTGAACATTCCTTTTGATGGAGCAGTTTTGAAACTCTCTTTTGCTAGCATCTGCAAATGGATAGGTGGAACTCTGTGAAGACTTCTTTGGAAACGGGAATATCCTCACGTAAAAAGTAAACAGAAGCATTCTCAGAAACTCCTTTGTGAGGCTTGTGTTCAACTCCCAGAGTATAACATTGCTTTTCATAGAGCAGTTTTGAAACATTCTTTTAGTAGAGCCTCCAAGTGGACATTTGGAGCGCTTTCAGGCCTGCGGTGGAAAAGGAAATATCTTCACATAAAAGCTAGAGAGAAGCATTGTCAGAAACTTCTTGGTGATGATTGCATTCAACTCACGGAGCTGAGGATTCCTTTGGATGCAGCAGTTTGGAAACACTCTTTCGGTGGAATCTGCAAGCGGATATGTGGACCTCTTTGAACATTTCGATGGAAAAGGGATAATCTTCCCGTAAAAGCTAAACGGAAGCATGCTCAGGAACTTCCTTGTGATGTTTGCATTCAACTCACAGAGTTGTACTTTCCTTCTGATAGAGCAGCTTTGAAACCCCCTCTTTCTAGCATCTGCAAGGGGACATTTGGAGGGCTTCGAGGCCTGGGGTGGAAAAGGAAATATCTTCTCATCAAAGCTACATGGAAGCATTCTCAGAAACTGCTGTGTGATGATTGCTTTCAAGTCACCGAGTTGAACATTCCCTTTGATGGAGCCGTTTGGAAACACACTTTTGGTAGAATCTGAAAGGGGAGATTTGGACCGCTTTGAGGCCTATGGCAGTAGAGGATATAACTGCACATAAAAACGAGACAGTAGCATTCTCAGGAAACGCTTTGTGACGATTGAGTTCAACTCACGGAGCTGAATATTCCTTTGGATGGAGCAGTTTCCAAACACACTTTGTGTAGAATCTGCAAGTGGAGATTTGGACCGCTCTGAGGATTTCGTTGGATACGGGAGAAAAGCCACATACGTAAACAGAAGCATTCTCAGAACCTTCTTCGTGATGCTTGCATTCAACTCACAGTGTTGAACCTTTCTCTGACAGTTCAGGTTTGAAACACTCCTTCTGCAGAATCTGCAAGTGGACATTTGGACCTCCTTGAGGCCTATCGTAGTAAAGGAAAGAACTTCATCTAAAAACAAGATGGAAGCATTCTCAGAAAATTCTTTGCGATGATTGAGTTTAACTCACAGAGCTGAGCATATCTTTTGATGGGGCATTTTCCAAACACACCTTTTGTGGAATATGCAAGTGGATTTTGGGACTTCTCTGAGAATTTCGTGGGAAACGGGATAAACCTCACATAACTGAAGAGGAACATTCTCAGAACTTCTTTGTGATGTTGGCATTCAACTGACAGAGTTGAACCTTCCCTTGTGAGTTCAGGTTGAAACGCTCTTTTCGTACTATCTGCAAGTGGGGATTTGGAACGCTTTGAGGCCTACGGTAGTAAAGGAAACAGCTTCATGTAAAAACTGGACAGAAGCATTCTCAGAAAATACTTTGGGATGATTGAGTTCAACTCACAGAGCTGAACATTCCTTTGGGTGGAGCAGATTTGAAACAAACTTTTTGTAGACTCTGCAGGTGGATATTTGGACCTCTCTGAGGATTTCACTGGAAACGGGATAACGTCGCCTAAGAAAACAGAAGCTTTCGCAGAAACATCTTTCTGACGTTGGCATTCAAAGTCCAGAGTTGAGCCTTCCTTTGGTAGTTCACGTTTGAAACACTCTTTTCGGAGGACCTGCAAGTGGATATTTGGAGCACTTTGTGGCCTTCGTTCGAAACGGCTATATCTTCACGTAAAATCTAGACAGAAGCCTTCTCAGAAACTTCTCTGTGATGATTGCATGCAACTCACAGAGTTGAACATTCCTTTTGATGGAGCAGTTTTGAAACTCTCTTTTGCTAGCATCTGCAAATGGATAGGTGGAACTCTGTGAAGACTTCTTTGGAAACGGGAATATCCTCACGTAAAAAGTAAACAGAAGCATTCTCAGAAACTCCTTTGTGAGGCTTGTGTTCAACTCCCAGAGTATAACATTGCTTTTCATAGAGCAGTTTTGAAACATTCTTTTCGTAGAGCCTCCAAGTGGACATTTGGAGCGCTTTCAGGCCTGCGGTGGAAAAGGAAATATCTTCACATAAAAACTAGAGAGAAGCATTGTCAGAAACTTCTTGGTGATGATTGCATTAAACTCACGGAGCTGAGGATTCCTTTTGATGCAGCAGGTTGGCAACACTCTTTCGGTGGAATCTGCAAGCGGATATGTGGACATCTTTGAACATTGCGATGGAAAAGGGATAATCTTCCCGTAAAAGCTAAACGGAAGCATGCTCAGGAACTTCTTTGTGATGTTTGCATTCAACTCGCAGAGTTGTACTTTCCTTTTGATAGAGCAGCTTTGAAACCCTCTCTTTCTAGCATCTGCAAGGGGACATTTGGAGGGCTTCGAGTCCTGGGGTGGAAAAGGAAATATCTTCTCATCAAAGCTACATGGAAGCATTCTCAGAACCTGCTTTCTGATGATTGCATTCAAGTCACCGAGTTGAACATCCCCTTTGATGGGGCCGTTTTGAAACACACTTTTGGTAGAATCTGAAAGGGGAGATTTGGACCGCTTTGAGGCCTATGGCAGTAGAGGATATAACTGCACATGAAAGCGAGTCAGGAGCATTCCCAGGAAACGCTTTGTGACCATTGAGTTCAACTCACAGAGCTGAACATACCTTTGGGTGGAGCAGTTTCCAAACACACTTTGTGTAGAATCTGCAAGTGGAGATTTGGACCGCTCTGAGGATTTCGTTGGATACGGGAGAAAAGTCCCCTACATAAACAGAAGCATTCTCAGAACCTTCTTCGTGATGCTTGCTTTCAACTCACAGTGTTGAAACTTTCTCTGACAGTTAAGGTTTGAAACACTCCTTCTGCAGAATCTGCAAGTGGAGATTTGGACCTCCTTGAGGCCTATCGTAGTAAAGGAAAGAACTTCATCTAAAAACAAGACGGAAGCATTCTCAGAAAATTCTTTGCAATGATTGAGTTTAACTCACAGAGCTGAGCATATCTTTTGATGGCACAATTTCCAAACACACCTTTTGTGGAATATGCAAGTGGATTTTGGGACTTCTCTGAGAATTTCGTTGGAAACGGGATAAACCTCACATAACTGAAGAGGAACATTCTCAGAAGTTCTTGGTGACGTTGGCATTCAACTGACAGAGTTGAACCTTCCCTTGTGAGTTCAGGTTGAAACGCTCTTTTCGTAGTATCTGCAAGTGGAGGTTTGGAACGCTTTGAGGCCTACGGTAGTAAAGGAAACAGCTTCATGTAAAAACTGGACAGAAGCCTTCTCAGAAAATACTTTGGGATGATTGAGTTCAACTCACAGAGCTGAACCTTCCTTTGGGTGGAGCAGTTTTGAAACACACTTTTTGTAGACTCTGCAGGTGGATATTTGGACCTCTCTGAGGATTTCGTTGGAAACGGGATAACGTCACCTAACTAAACAGAAGCTTCCGCAGAAATATCCTTCTGACGTTGGCCTTCAAAGTCCCGAGTTGAGCCTTCCTTTGGTAGTTCACGTTTGAAACACTCTTTTTGGAGGACCTGCAAGTGGATATTTGGAGCACTTTGTGGCCTTCGTTCGAAACGGCTATATCTTCACATAAAATGTAGACAGAAGCATTCTCAGAAACTTCTCTGTGATGATTGCATGCATCTCACAGAGTTGAACATTCCTTTTGATAGTGCAGTTTTGAAACTCTCTAGTTTTGCTGGCATCTGCAAATGGATAGGTGGAACTCTGTGAAAACTTCTTTGGAAACGGGAATATCCTCACGTAAAAAGTAAACAGAAGCATTCTCAGAAACTCCTTTGTGAGGCTTGTGTTCAACTCCCAGAGTATAACATTGCTTTTCATAGAGCAGTTTTGAAACGTTCTTTTCGTAGAGCCTCCAAGTGGACATTTGGGGCGCTTTCAGGCCTGCGGTGGAAAAGGAAATATCTTCACATAAAAACTAGTGAGAAGCATTGTCAGAAACTTCTTGGTGATGATTGCATTCAACTCACGAAGCTGAGGATTCCTTTGGATGCAGCAGTTTGGAAACACTCTTTCGGTGGAATCTGCAAGCGGATATGTGGACCTCTTTGAACATTTCGATGGAAAAGGGATAATCTTCCCGTAAAAGCTAAACGGAAGCATGCTCAGGAACTTCCTTGTGATGTTTGCATTCAACTCGCAGAGTTGTACTTTCCTTTTGATAGAGCAGCTTTGAAACCCCCTCTTTCTAGCATCTGCAAGGGGACATTTGGAGGGCTTCGAGGCCTGGGGTGGAAAAGGAAATATCTTCTCATCAAAGCTACATGGAAGCATTCTCAGAAGCTGCTTTGTGATGATTGCTTTCAAGTCACCGAGTTGAACATTCCCTTTGATGGAGCCGTTTGGAAACACACTTCTGGTAGAATCTGAAAGGGGATATTTGGACCGCTTTGAGGCCTATGGCAGCAGAGGATATAACTGCACATAAAAGCGAAACAGGAGCATTCTCAGAAAATACTTTGGGATGATTGACTTCAACTCACAGAGCTGAACATTCCTTTGGATGGAGCAGTTTCCAAACACACTTTGTGTAGAATCTGCAAGTGGAGATTTGGACCGCTCTGAGGATTTCGTTGGATACGGGAGAAAACTCACCTACGTAAACAGAAGCATTCTCAGAACCTTCTTCGTGATGCTTGCATTCAACTCACAGTGTTGAATCTTTCTCTGACAGTTCTGGTTTGAAACACTCCTTCTGCAGAATCTGCAAGTGGAGATTTGGACCTCTTTGTTGCCTATCGTAGTAAACGAAAGAACTTCATCTAAAAACAAGACAGAAGCATTCTCAGAAAATTATTTGTGATGATTGAGTTTAACACACAGACCTGAGCATATCTTTTGATGGCGCATTTTCCAAAAACACCTTTTGTAGAATATGCAAGTGGATTTTGGGACTTCTCTGAGAATTTCGTTGGAATCGGGATAAACCTCACATAACTGAAGAGGAACATTCTCAGAACTTCTTGGTGATGTTGGCATTCAACTGACAGAGTTGAACCTTCCCTTGTGAGTTCAGGTTGAAACGCTCTTTTCGTAGTATCTGCAAGTGGAGGTTTGGAACGCTTTGAGGCCTACGGTAGTAAAGGAAACAGCTTCATGTAAAAACTGGACAGAAGAACTCTCAGAAAATACTTTGGGATGATTGAGTTCAACTCACAGAGCTGAACATTCCTTTGGGTGGAGCAGTTTTGAAACACACTGTTTGTAGACTCTGCAGGTGGATATTTGGACCTCTCTGAGGATTTCGTTGGAGACGGGATAACGTCACCTAACTAAACAGAAGCTTTCGCAGAAAAATCTTTCTGACGTTTGCATTCAAAGTCCAGAGTTGAGCCTTCCTTTGGTAGTTCACGTTTGAAACACTCTTTTTGGAGGACCTGCAAGTGGATATTTGGAGCACTTTGTGGCCTTCGTTCGAAACGGCTGTATCTTCACATAAAATCTAGACAGAAGCATTCTCAGAAACTTCTCTGTGATGATTGCATGCATCTCACAGAGTTGAACATTCCTTTTGATAGTGCAGTTTTGAAACTCTCTAGTTTTGCTGGCATCTGCAAATGGATAGGTGGAACTCTGTGAAAACTTCTTTGGAAACGGGAATATCCTCACGTAAAAAGTAAACAGAAGCATTCTCAGAAACTCCTTTGTGAGGCTTGTGTTCAACTCCCAGAGTATAACATTGCTTTTCATAGAGCAGTTTTGAAACGTTCTTTTCGTAGAGCCTCCAAGTGGACATTTGGGGCGCTTTCAGGCCTGCGGTGGAAAAGGAAATATCTTCACATAAAAACTAGTGAGAAGCATTGTCAGAAACTTCTTGGTGATGATTGCATTCAACTCACGGAGCTGAGGATTCCTTTTGATGCAGCAGTTTGGAAACACTCTTTCGGTGGAATCTGCAAGCGGATATGCGGACCTCTTTGAACATTTCGATGGAAATGGAATAATCTTCCCGTAAAAGCTAAACGGAACCATGCTCAGGAACTTCCTTGTGACGTTTGTATTCAACTCACAGAGCTGTACTTTCCTTTTGATAGAGCTACTTTGAAACCCCCTCTTTCTAGCATCTGCAAGGGGACATTTGGAGGGCTTCGAGGCCTGGGGAGGAAAAGGAAATATCTTCTCATCAAAGCTACATGGAAGCATTCTCAGAAGCTGCTTTGTGATGATTGCATTCAAGTCACCGAGTTGAACATCCCCTTTGATGGGGCCGTTTGGAAACACACTTTTGGTAGAATCTGAAAGGGGAGATTTGGACCGCTTTGAGGCCTATGGCAGTAGAGGATATAACTGCACATAAAAGCGAGACAGGAGCATTCCCAGGAAACGCTCTGTGACGATTGAGTTCAACTCACAGAGCTGAACATTCCTTTGGGTGAAGCAGTTTCCAAACACACCTTGTGTAGAATCTGCAAGTGGAGATTTGGACCGCTCTGAGGATTTCGTTGGATACGGGAGAAAAGTCACCTACGTAAACAGAAGCATTCTCAGAACCTTCTTCGTGATGCGTGCATTCAACTCACAGTGTTGAACCTTTCTCTGACAGTTCAGGTTTGAAACACTCCTTCTGCAGAATCTGCAAGTGGACATTTGGACCTCCTTGAGGCCTATCGTAGTAAAGGAAAGAACTTCATCTAAAAACAAGACGGAAGCATTCTCAGCAAAATTCTTTGCGATGATTGAGTTTAACTCACAGAGCTGAGCATATCTTTTGATGGCGCATTTTCCAAACACACCTTTTGTGGAATATGCAAGTGGATTTTGGGACTTCTCTGAGAATTTCGTTGGAAACGGGATAAACCTCACGTAACTGAAGAGGAACATTCTCAGAAGTTCTTGGTGACGTTGGCATTCAACTGACAGAGTTGAACCTTCCCTTGTGAGTTCAGGTTGAAACGCTCTTTTCGTAGTATCTGCAAGTGGAGGTTTGGAACGCTTTGAGGCCTACGGTAGTAAAGGAAACAGCTTCATGTAAAAACTGGACAGAAGCATTCTCAGAAAATACTTTGGGATGATTGAGTTCAACTCACAGAGCTGAACATTCCTTTGGGTGGAGCAGTTTTGAAACACACTTTTTGTAGACTCTGCAGGTGGATATTTGGACCTCTCTGAGGATTTCGTTGGAGACGGGATAACGTCACCTAACTAAACAGAAGCTTCCGCAGAAATATCCTTCTGACGTTGGCCTTCAAAGTCCCGAGTTGAGCCTTCCTTTGGTAGTTCACGTTTGAAACACTCTTTTTGGAGGACCTGCAAGTGGATATTTGGAGCACTTTGTGGCCTTCGTTCGAAACGGCTATATCTTCACATAAAATGTAGACAGAAGCCTTCTCAGAAACCTCTCTGTGATGATTGCATGCAACTCACAGAGTTGAACATTCCTTTTGATAGAGCAGTTTTGAAACTCTCTAGTTTTGCTAGCATCTGCAAATGGATAGGTGGAACTCTGTGAAGACTTCTTTGGAAACGGGAATATCCTCACGTAAAAAGTAAACAGAAGCATTCTCAGAAACTCCTTTGTGAGGCTTGTGTTCAACTCCCAGAGTATAACATTGCTTTTCATAGAGCAGTTTTGAAACATTCTTTTCGTAGAGCCTCCAAGTGGACATTTGGAGCACTTTCAGGCCTGCGGTGGGAAAGGAAATATCTTCACATAAAAACTAGAGAGAAGCATTGTCAGAAACTTCTTGGTGATGATTGCATTCAACTCACGGAGCTGAGGATTCCTTTGGATGCAGCAGTTTGGAAACACTCTTTGTGTGGAATCTGCAAGCGGATATGTGGACCTCTTTGAACATTTCGATGGAAAAGGGATAATCTTCCCGTAAAAGCTAAACGGAAGCATGCTCAGGAACTTCCTTGTGATGTTTGCATTCAACTCACAGAGTTGTACTTTCCTTCTGATAGAGCAGCTTTGAAACCCCCTCTTTCTAGCATCTGCAAGGGGACATTTGGAGGGCTTCGTGGCCTGGCGTGGAAAAGGAAATATCTTCTCATCAAAGCTACATGGAAGCATTCTCAGAAGCTGCTTTGTGAAGATTGCATTCAAGTCACCGAGTTGAACATCCCCTTTGATGGGGCCGTTTGGAAACACACTTTTGGTAGAATCTGAAAGGGGAGATTTGGACCGCTTTGTGGCCTATGGCAGCAGAGGATTTAACTGCACATAAAAGCGAGACAGGAGCATTCCCAGGAAACGCTTTGTGACCATTGAGTTCAACTCACAGAGCTGAACATTCCTTTGGGTGGAGCAGTTTGCAAACACACTTTGTGTAGAATCTGCAAGTGGAGATTTGGACCGCTCTGAGGATTTCGTTGGATACGGGAGAAAAGTCACCTACGTAAACAGAAGCATTCTCAGAACCTTCTTCGTGATGCTTGCATTCAACTCACAGTGTTGAACCTTTCTCTGACAGTTCAGGTTTGAAACACTCCTTCTGCAGAATCTGCAAGTGGAGATTTGGACCTCTTTGAAGCCTGTCGTAGTAAAGGAAAGAACTTCATCTAAAAACAAGACAGAAGCATTCTCAGAAAATTCTTTGCGATGATTGAGTTTAACTCACAGAGCTGAGCAGGTCTTTTGATGGAGCATTTTCAAAACACACGTTTTGTAGAATATGCAAGTGGATATTGGGACTTCTCTGAGAATTTCGTTGGAAACGGGATAAACCTCACATAACTGAAGAGGAACATTCTCAGAAGTTCTTGGTGACGTTGGCATTCAACTGACAGAGTTGAACCTTCCCTTGTGAGTTCAGGTTGAAACGCTCTTTTCGTAGTATCTGCAAGTGGAGGTTTGGAACGCTTTGAGGCCTACGGTAGTAAAGGAAACAGCTTCATGTAAAAACTGGACAGAAGCATTGTCAGAAAATACTTTGGGATGATTCAGTTCAACTCACAGAGCTGAACATTCCTTTGGGTGGAGCAGTTTTGAAACACACTTTTTGTAGACTCTGCAGGTGGATATTTGGACCTCTCTGAGGATTTCGTTGGAGACGGGATAACGTCACCTAACTAAACAGAAGCTTTCGCAGAAACATCCTTCTGACGTTGGCATTCAAAGTCCAGAGTTGAGCCTTCCTTTGGTAGTTCACGTTTGAAACACTCTTTTTGGAGGACCTGCAAGTGGATATTGGGAGCACTTTGTGGCCTTCGTTCGAAACGGCCATATCTTCACATAAAATCTAGACAGAAGCCTTCTCAGAAACTTCTCTGTGATGATTGCATGCAACTCACAGAGTTGAACATTCCTTTTGACAGAGCAGTTTTGAAACTCTCTTTTGCTAGCATCTGCAAATGGGTAGGTGGAACTCTGTGAAGACTTCTTTGGAAACGGGAATATCCTCACGTAAAAAGTAAACAGAAGCATTCTCAGAAACTCCTTTGTGAGGCTTGTGTTCAACTCGCAGAGTATAATATTGCTTTTCATAGAGCAGTTTTGAAACATTCTTTTCGTAGAGCCTCCAAGTGGACATTTGGAGTGCTTTCAGGCCTGTGGTGGAAAAGGAAATATCTTCACATAAAAACTAGAGAGAAGCATTGTCAGAAACTTCTTGGTGATGATTGCATTCAACTCACGGAGGTGAGGATTCCTTTTGATGCAGCAGTTTGGAACCACTCTTTCTGTGGAATCTGCAAGCGGATATGTGGACCTCTTTGAACATTTCGTTAGAAAAGGGATAATCTTCCCGTAATAGCTAAACGGCAGCATGCTCAGGAACTTCTTTGTGATGTTTGCATTCAACTCGCAGAGTTGTACTTTCCTTTTGATAGAGCAGCTTTGAAACCCTCTCTTTCTAGCATCTGCAAGGGGACATTTGGAGGGCTTCGAGGCCTGGGGTGGAAAAGGAAATATCTTCTCATGAAAGCTACATGGAAGCATTCTCAGAAGCTGCTTTGTGATGATTGCATTCAAGTCACCGAGTTGAACATTCCCTTTGATGGAGCCGTTTGGAAACACACTTTTGGTAGGATCTGAAAGGGGAGATTTGGACCGCATTGAGGCCTATGGCAGTAGAGGATATAACTGCACATAAAAACGAGACAGGAGCATTCCCAGGAAACACTTTGTGACGATTGAGTACAACTCACAGAGCTGAACATTCCTTTGGATGGAGCAGTTTCCAAACACACTTTGTGTAGAATCTGCAAGTGGAGATTTGGACCGCTCTGAGGATTTCGTTGGATTTGGGAGAAAAGTCACCTACGTAAACAGAAGCATTCTCGGAACCTTCTTCGTGATGCTTGCATTCAACTCACAGTGTTGAACCTTTCTCTGACAGTTCAGGTTTGAAACACTCCTTCTGCAGAATCTGCAAGTGGAGATTTGGACCTCCTTGAGGCCTATCATTGTAAAGGAAAGAACTTCATCTAAAAGCAAGACGGAAGCATTCTCAGAAAATTCTTTGCGATGATTGAGTTTAACTCACAGAGCTGAGCATATCTTTTGATGGCGCATTTTCCAAACACACCTTTTGTGGAATATGCAAGTGGATTTTGGGACTTCTCTGAGAATTTCTTTGGAAACGGGATAAACCTCACGTAACTGAAGAGGAACATTCTCAGAAGTTCTTGGTGATGTTGGCATTCAACTGACAGAGTTGAACCTTCCCTTGTGAGTTCAGGTTGAAACGCTCTTTTCGTAGTATCTGCAAGTGGAGGTTTGGAACGCTTTCAGGCCTGCGGTAGTAAAGGAAACAGCTTCATGTAAAAAGTGGACAGAAGCATTTTCAGAAAATACTTTGGGATGATTGAGTTCAACTCACAGAGCTGAACATTCCTTTGGGTGGAGCAGTTTTGAAACACACTTTTTGTAGACTCTGCAGGTGGATATTTGAACCTCTCTGAGGATTTCGTTGGAAACGGGATAACGTCACCTAACTAAACAGAAGCTTTCGCAGAAACATCCTTCTGACGTTGGCATTCAAAGTCCAGAGTTGAGCCTTCCTTTGGTAGTTCACGTTTGAAACACTCTTTTTGGAGGACCTGCAAGTGGATATTGGGAGCGCTTTGTGGCCTTCGTTCGAAACGGCCGTATCTTCACATAAAATCTAGACAGAAGCCTTCTCAGAAACTTCTCTGTGATGATTGCATGCAACTCACAGAGTTGAACATTCCTTTTGATGGAGCAGTTTTGAAACTCTCTTTTACTAGCATCTGCAAATGTATAGGTGGAACTCTGTGAAGACTTCTTTGGAAACGGGAATATCCTCACGTAAAAAGTAAACAGAAGCATTCTCAGAAACTCCTTTGTGAGGCTTGTGTTCAACTCCCAGAGTATAACATTGCCTTTCATAGAGCAGTTTAGAAACATTCTTTTCGTAGAGCCTCCAAGTGGACATTTGGAGCGCTTTCAGGCCTGTGGTGGAACAGGAAATATCTTCACATAAAAACTAGAGAGACGCATTGTCAGAAACTTCTTGGCGATGATTGCACTCAACTCACGGAGCTGAGGATTCCTTTGGATGCAGCAGTTTGGAAACACTCTTTCGGTGGAATCTGCAAGCGGATATGTGGACCTCTTTGAACATTTCGATGGAAAAGGGACAATCTTCCCGTAAAAGCTAAACGGAAGCATGCTCAGGAACTTCCTTGTGATGTTTGCATTCAACTCACAGAGTTGTACTTTCCTTTTGATAGAGCAGCTTTGAAACCCCCTCTTTCTAGCATCTGCAAGGGGACATTTGGAGGGCTTCGAGGCCTGGGGTGGAAAAGGAAATATCTTCTCATCAAAGCTACATGGAAGCATTCTCAGAAGCTGCTTTGTGATGATTGCTTTCAAGTCACCGAGCTGAACATTCTCTTTGATGGAGCCGTTTGGAAACACACTTTTGGTAGAATCTGAAAGGGGAGATTTGGACCGCTTTGAGGCCTATGGCAGTAGAGGATATAACTGCACATAAAAACGAGACTGTAGCATTCCCAGGAAACACTTTGTGACGATTGAGTTCAACTCACGGAGATGAACATTCCTTTGGATGGAGCAGTTTCCAAACACACTTTGTGTAGAATCTGCAAGTGGAGATTCGGACCGCTCTGAGGATTTCGTTGGATACGGGAGAGAACTCACATACGTAAACGGAAGCATTCTCAGAACCTTCTTCGTGATGCTTGCATTCAACTCACAGTGTTGAACCTTTCTCTGACAGTTCAGGTTTGAAACACTCCTTCTGCAGAATCTGCAAGTGGAGATTTGGACCTCCTTGAGGCCTATCATAGTAAAGGAAAGAACTTCATCTAAAAACAAGACGGAAGCATTCTCAGAAAATTCTTTGCGATGATTGAGTTTAACTCACAGAGCTGAGCATATCTTTTGATGGCGCATTTTCAAAACACACCTTTTGTAGAATATGCAAGTGGATTTTGGGACTTCTCTGAGAATTTCGTTGGAAACGGGATAAACCTCACATAACTGAAGAGGAACATTCTCAGAACTTCTTGGTGATGTTGGCATTCAACTGACAGAGTTGAACCTTCCCTTGTGAGTTCAGGTTGAAACGCTCTTTTCGTAGGATCTGCAAGTGGAGGTTTGGAACGCTTTGAGGCCTACGGTAGTAAAGGAAACAGCTTCATGTAAAAACTGGACAGAAGCATTCTCAGAAAATACTTTGGGACGATTGAGTTCAACTCACAGAGCTGAACATTCCTTTGGGTGGAGCAGTTTGGAAACACACTTTTTGTAGACTCCGCAGGTGGATATTTGGACCTCTCTGAGGATTTCGTTGGAAACGGGATAACGTCACCTAACTAAACAGAAGCTTTCGCAGAAACATCCTTCTGACGTTGGCATTCAAAGTCCAGAGTTGAGCCTTCCTTTGTTAGTTCACGTTTGAAACACTCTTTTTGGAGGACCTGCAAGTGGATATTGGGAGCGCTTTGTGGCCTTCGTTCGAAACGGCCATATCTTCACATAAAATCTAGACAGAAGCCTTCTCAGAAACTTCTCTGTGATGATTGCATGCAACTCACAGAGTTGAAAATTCCTTTTGATGGAGCAGTTTTGAAACTCTCTTTTGCTAGCATCTGCAAATGGATAGGTGGAACTCTGTGAAGACTTCTTTGGAAACGGGAATATCCTCACGTAAAAAGTAAACAGAAGCATTCTCAGAAACTCCTTTGTGAGGCTTGTGTTCAACTCCCAGAGTATAACATTGCTTTTCATAGAGCAGTTTTGAAACATTCTTTTCGTAGAGCCTCCAAGTGGACATTTGGAGCGCTTTCAGGCCTGCGGTGGAAAAGGAAATATCTTCACATAAAAACTAGAGAGAAGCATTGTCAGAAACTTCTTGGTGATGATTGCATTCAACTCACGGAGCTGAGGATTCCTTTGGATGCAGCAGTTTGGAAACACTCTTTGTGTGGAATCTGCAAGCGGATATGTGGACCTCTTTAAACATTTCGATGGAAAAGGGATAATCTTCCCGTAAAAGCTAAACGGAAGCATGCTCAGGAACTTCCTTGTGATGTTTGCATTCAACTCACAGAGTTGTACTTTCCTTTTGATAGAGCAGCTTTGAAACCCCCTCTTTCTAGCATCTGCAAGGGGACATTTGGAGGGCTTCGAGGCCTGGGGTGGAAAAGGAAATATCTTCTCATCAAAGCTACATGGAAGCATTCTCAGAACCTGCTTTCTGATGATTGCATTCAAGTCACCGAGTTGAACATCCCCTTTGATGGGGCCGTTTGGAAACACACTTTTGGTAGAATCTGAAAGGGGAGATTTGGACCGCTTTGAGGCCTATGGCAGTAGAGGATATAACTGCACATGAAAGCGAGTCAGGAGCATTCCCAGGAAACGCTTTGTGACCATTGAGTTCAACTCACAGAGCTGGACATTCCTTTGGGTGGAGCAGTTTCCAAACACACTTTGTGTAGAATCTTCAAGTGGAGATTTGGACCGCTCTGAGGATTTCGTTGGATACGGGAGAAAAGTCACCTACGTAAACAGAAGCATTCTCAGAACTTTCTTCGCGATGCTTGCATTCAACTCACAGTGTTGAACCTTTCTCTGACAGTTCAGGTTTGAAACACTCCTTCTGCAGAATCTGCAAGTGGAGATTTGGACCTCTTTGAGGCCTATCGTAGTAAAGGAAAGAACTTCATCTAAAAACAAGACAGAAGCATTCTCAGAAAATTCTTTGTGATGATTGAGTTGAACTCACAGAGCTGAGCATATCTTTTGATGGCGCATTTTCAACACACACCTTTTGTGGAATATGCAAGTGGTTTTTGGGACTTCTCTGATAATTTCGTTGGAAACGGGATAAAACTCACATAACTGAAGAGGAACATTCTCAGAAGTTCTTGGTGATGTTGGCATTCAACTGACAGAGTTGAACCTTCCCTTGTGAGTTCAGGTTGAAACGCTCTTTTCGTAGTATCTGCAAGTGGAGGTTTGGAACGCTTTGAGGCCTACGGTAGTAAAGGAAACAGCTTCATGTAAAAACTGGACAGAAGCATTCTCAGAAAATACTTTGGGATGATTGAGTTCAACTCACAGAGCTGAACATTCCTTTGGGTGGAGCAGTTTTGAAACACACTTTTTGTAGACTCTGCAGGTGGATATTTGGACCTCTCTGAGGATTTCGTTGGAGACGGGATAACGTCACCTAACTAAACAGAAGCTTTCGCAGAAACATCTTTCTGACGTTGGCATTCAAAGTCCAGAGTTGAGCCTTCCTTTGGTAGTTCACGTTTGAAACACTCTTTTTGGAGGACCTGCCAGTGGATATTTGGAGCACTTTGTGGCCTTCGTTCGAAACGGCTATATCTTCACATAAAATCTAGACAGAAGCCTTCTCAGAAACTTCTCTGTGATGATTGCATGCAACACACAGAGTTGAAAATTCCTTTTGATGGAGCAGTTTTGAAACTCTCTTTTGCTAGCATCTGCAAATGTATAAGTGGAACTCTGTGAAGACTTCTTTGGAAACGGGAATATCCTCACGTAAAAAGTAAACAGAAGCATTCTCAGAAACTCCTTTGTGAGGCTTGTGTTCAACTCCCAGAGTATAACATTGCTTTTCATAGAGCAGTTTTGAAACATTCTTTTCGTAGAGCCTCCAAGTGGACATTTGGAGCGCTTTCAGGCCTGTGGTGGAAAAGGAAATATCTTCACATAAAAACTAGAGAGAAGCATTGTCAGAAACTTCTTGGTGATGATTGCATTCAACTCACGGAGCTGAGGATTCCTTTGGATGCAGCAGTTTGGAAACACTCTTTCAGTGGAATCTGCAAGCGGATATGTGGACCTCTTTGAACATTTCGATGGAAAAGGGATAATCTTCCCGTAAAAGCTAAACGGAAGCATGCTCAGGAACTTCTTTGTGATGTTTGCATTCAACTCGCAGAGTTGTACTTTCCTTTTGATAGAGCAGCTTTGAAACCCTCTCTTTCTAGCATCTGCAAGGGGACATTTGGAGGGCTTCGAGGCCTGGGGTGGAAAAGGAAATATCTTCTCATCAAAGCTACATGGAAGCATTCTCAGAAGCTGCTTTGTGATGATTGCATTCAAGTCACTGAGTTGAACATCCCCTTTGATGGGGCCATTTGGAAACACACTTCTGGTAGAATCTGAAAGGGGAGATTTGGACCGCTTTGAGGCCTATGGCAGTAGAGGATATAACTGCACATAAAAGCGAGACAGGAGCATTCCCAGGAAACGCTTTGTGACGATTGAGTTCAACTCACAGAGCTGAACATTCCTTTGGGTGGAGCAGTTTCCAAACACACTTTGTGTAGAATCTGCAAGTGGAGATTTGGACCGCTCTGAGGATTTCGCTGGATACGGGAGAAAAGTCACCTACGTAAACAGAAGCATTCTCAGAACCTTCTTCGTGATGCTTGCATTCAACTCACAGTGTTGAACCTTTCTCTGACAGTTCAGGTTTGAAACACTCCTTCTGCAGAATCTGCAAGTGGAGATTTGGACCTCTTTGAGGCCTATTGTAGTAAAGGTAAGAACTTCATCTAAAAACAAGACGGAAGCATTCTCAGAAAATTCTTTGCGATGATTGAGTTTAACTCACAGAGCTCAGCAGGTCTTTTGATGGAGCATTTTCAAAACACACGTTTTGTAGTATATGCAAGTGGATATTGGGACTTCTCCGAGAATTTCGTTGGAAACGGGATAAACCTCACATAACTGAAGAGGAACATTCTCAGAACTTCTTGGTGATGTTGGCATTCAACTGACAGAGTTGAACCTTCCCTTGTGAGTTCAGGTTGAAACGCTCTTTTCGTACTATCTGCAAGTGGAGATTTGGAACGCTTTGAGGACTACGGTAGTAAAGGAAACAGCTTCATGTAAAAACTGGACAGAAGCATTCTCAGAAACTACTTTGGGATGATTGAGTTCAACTCACAGAGCTGAACTTTCCTTTGGGTGGAGCAGTTTGGAAACACACTTTTTGTAGACTCTGCAGGTGGATATTTGGAACTCTCTAAGGATTTCGTTGGAAACGGGATAAGGTCACCTAACTAAACAGAAGCTTCCGCAGAAACATCCTTCTGACGTTGGCCTTCAAAGTCCCGAGTTGAGCCTTCCTTTGGTAGTTCACGTTTGAAACACTCTTTTTGGAGGACCTGCAAGTGGATATTTGGAGCACTTTGTGGCCTTCGTTCGAAACGGCTATATCTTCACATAAAATCTAGACAGAAGCCTTCTCAGAAACTTCTCTGTGACGATTGCACGCAACTCACAGAGTTGAACATTCCTTTTGATAGAGCAGTTTTGAAACTCTCTAGTTTTCCTGGCATCTGCAAATGGATAGGTGGAAATCTGTGAAGACTTCTTTGGAAACGGGAATATCCTCACGTAAAAAGTAAACAGAAGCATTTCCTGAAACTCCTTTGTGAGGCTTGTGTTCAACTCCCAGAGTATAACATTGCTTTTCATGGAGCAGTTTTGAAACATTCTTTTCGTAGAGCCTCCAAGTGGACATTTGGAGCCCTTTCAGGCCTGTGGTGGATAAGGAAATATCTTCACATAAAAACTAGAGAGAAGCATTGTCAGAAACTTCTTGGTGATGATTGCATTCAACTCACGGAGCTGAGGATTCCTTTTGATGCAGCAGTTTGGAAACACTCTTTCGGTGGAATCTGCAAGCGGATATGTGGACCTCTTTGAACATTTCTATGGAAAAGGGATAATCTTCCCGTAAAAGCTAAACGGAAGCATGCTCAGGAATTTCCTTGTGATGTTTGCATTCAACTCACAGAGTTGTACTTTCCTTTTGATAGAGCAGCTTTGAAACCCCCTCTTTCTAGCATCTGCAAGGGGACATTTGGAGGGCTTCGAGGCCTGGGGTGGAAAAGGAAATATCTTCTCATCAAAGCTACATGGAAGCATTCTCAGAAGCTGCTTTGTGATGATTGCTTTCAAGTCACCGAGCTGAACATTCCCTTTGATGGAGCCGTTGGGAAACACAATTTTGGTAGAATCCTAAAGGGGATATTTGGACAGCTTTGAGGCCTATGGCAGTAGAGGATATAACTGCACATAAAAACGAGACAGTAGCATTCCCAGGAAACACTTTGTGACGATTGAGTGCAACTCACAGAGCTGAACATTCCTTTGGATGGAGCAGTTTCCAAACACACTTTGTGTAGAATCTGCAAGAGGAGATTTGGACCCCTCTGAGGATTTCGTTGGATACGGGAGAGAACTCACCTACGTAAACAGAAGCATTCTCAGAACCTTCTTCGTGATGTTTGCATTCAACTCACAGTGTTGAACCTTTCTCTGACAGTTCAGGTTTGAAACACTCCTTCTGCAGAATCTGCCAGTGGAGATTTGGACCTCTTTGAGGCCTGTGGTAGTAAAGGAAAGAACTTCATCTAAAAACAAGACGGAAGCATTCTCAGAAAATTCTTTGCGATGATTGAGTTTAACTCACAGAGCTGAGCATATCTTTTGATGGCGCATTTTCCAAACACACCTTTTGTGGAATATGCAAGTGGATTTTGGGACTTCTCTGAGAATTTCGTGGGAAACGGGATAAACCTCACATAACTGAAGAGGAACATTCTCAGAAGTTCTTGGTGATGTTGGCATTCAACTGGCAGAGTTGAACCTTCCCTTGTGAGTTCAGGTTGAAACGCTCTTTTCGTAGTATCTGCAAGTGGAGGTTTGGAATGCTTTGAGGCCTACGGTAGTAAAGGAAACAGCTTCATGTAAAAACTGGACAGAAGCATTCTCAGAAAATACTTTGGGATGATTGAGTTCAACTCACAGAGCTGAACATTCCTTTGGGTGGAGCAGTTTTGAAACACACTTTTGGAGACTCTGCAGGTGAATATTTGGACCTCTCTGAGGATTTCGTTGGAAGCGGGATAACGTCACCTAACTAAACAGAAGCCTCCGCAGAAACATCCTTCTGACGTTGGTCTTCAAAGTCCCGAGTTGAGCCTTCCTTTGGTAGTTCACGTTTGAAACACTCTTTTTGGAGGACCTGCAAGTGGATATTTGGAGCACTTTGTGGCCTTCGTTCGAAACGGCTATATCTTCACATAAAATCTAGACAGAAGCCTTCTCAGAAACTTCTCTGTGATGATTGCACGCAACTCACAGAGTTGAACATTCCTTTTGATAGAGCAGTTTTGAAACTCTCTAGTTTTGCTGGCATCTGCAAATGGATAGGTGTAACTCTGTGAAGACTTCTTTGGAGACGGGAATATCTTCACGTAAAAAGTAAACAGAAGCATTCTCAGAAACTCCTTTGTGAGGCTTGTGTTCAACTCCCAGAGTATAACATGGCTTTTCATGGAGCAGTTTTGAAATATTCTTTTCGTAGAGCCTCCAAGTGGACATTTGGAGCCCTTTCAGGCCTGTGGTGGATAAGGAAATATCTTCACATAAAAACTAGAGAGAAGCATTGTCAGAAACTTCTTGGTGATGATTGCATTCAACTCACGGAGCTGAGGATTCCTTTTGATGCAGCAGTTTGGAAACACTCTTTCGGTGGAATCTGCAAGCGGATATGTGGACCTCTTTGAACATTTCGATGGAAAAGGGATAATCTTCCCATAAAAGCTAAACGGAAGCATGCTCAGGAACTTCTTTGTGATGTTTGCATTCAACTCGCAGAGTTGTACTTTCCTTTTGATAGAGCAGCTTTGAAACCCTCTCTTTCTAGCATCTGCAAGGGGACATTTGGAGGGCTTCGAGGCCTGGGGTGGAAAAGGAAATATCTTCTCATCAAAGCTACATGGAAGCATTCTCAGAAGCTGCTTTGTGATGATTGCATTCAAGTCACCGAGTTGAACATCCCCTTTGATGGGGCCGTTTGGAAACACACTTTTGGTAGAATCTGAAAGGGGAGATTTGGACCGCTTTGAGGCCTATGGCAGTAGAGGATATAACTGCACATGAAAGCGAGACAGGAGCATTCCCAGGAAACGCTTTGTGACCATTCAGTTCAACTCACAGAGCTGAACATTCCCTTGGGTGGAGTAGTTTCCAAACACACTTTGTGTAGAATCTGCAAGTGGAGATTTGGACCGCTCTGAGGGTTTCGTTGGATACGGGAGAAAAGTCACCTACGTAAACAGAAGCATTCTCAGAAACTTCTTTGTGATGCTTGCATTCATCTCACAGTGTTGAACCTTTCTCTCATAGTTCAGGTTTGAAACACTCCTTCTGCAGAATCTGCAAGTGGAGATTTGGACCTCTTTGAGGCCTATCGTAGTAAAGGAAAGAACTTCATCTAAAAACAAGACAGAAGCATTCTCAGAAAATTCTTGGCGATGATTGAGTTTAACTCACAGAGCTGAGCATATCTTTTGATGGCGCATTTTCCAAACACACCTTTTGTGGAATATGCAAGTGGATTTTGGGACTTCTCTGAGAATTTCGTTGGAAACGGGATAAACCTCACGTAACTGAAGAGGAACATTCTCAGAACTGCTTGGTGATGTTGGCATTCAACTGACAGAGTTGAACCTTCCCTTGTGAGTTCAGGTTGAAACGCTCTTTTCGTAGTATCTGCAAGTGGAGGTTTGGAACGCTTTGAGGCCTACGGTAGTAAAGGAAACAGCTTCATGTAAAAACTGGACAGAAGCATTCTCAGAAAATACTTTGGGATGATTGAGTTGAACTCACAGAGCTGAACATTCCTTTGGGTGGAGCAGTTTTGAAACACACTTTTTGTAGACTCTGCAGGTGGATATTTGGACCTCTCTGAGGATTTCGTTGGAAACGGGATAACGTCACCTAACTAAACAGAAGCTTTCGCAGAAACATCCTTCTGACGTTGGCATTCAAAGTCCAGATTTGAGCCTTCCTTTGGTAGTTCACCTTTGAAACACTCTTTTTGGAGGACCTGCAAGTGGATATTGGGAGCGCTTTGTGGCCTTCGTTCGAAACGGCCATATCTTCACATAAAATCTAGACAGAAGCATTCTCAGAAACTTCTCTGTGATGATTGCATGCAACTCACAGAGTTAAACATTCCTTTTGATGGAGCAGTTTTGAAACTCTCTTTTGCTAGCATCTGCATATGGATAGGTGGAACTCTGTGAAGACTTCTTTGGAAACGGGAATATCCTCACGTAAAAAGTAAACAGAAGCATTCTCAGAAACTCCTTTGTGAGGCTTGTGTTCAACTCCCCGAGTATAACATTGCTTTTCATAGAGCAGTTTTGAAACATTCTTTTCGTAGAGCCTCCAAGTGGACATTTGGAGCGCTTTCAGGCCTGCGGTGGAAAAGGAAATATCTTCACATAAAAACTAGAGAGAAGCATTGTCAGAAACTTCTTGGTGATGATTGCATTCAACTCACGGAGCTGAGGATTCCTTTTGATGCAGCAGTTTGGAAACACTCTTTCGGTGGAATCTGCAAGCAGATATGTGGACCTCTTTGAACATTTCGATGGAAAAGGGATAATCTTCCCGTAAAAGCTAAACGGAAGCATGCTCAGGAACTTCTTTGTGATGTTTGCATTCAACTCGCAGAGTTGTACTTTCCTTTTGATAGAGCAGCTTTGAAACCCTCTCTTTCTAGCATCTGCAAGGGGACATTTGGAGGGCTTCGAGGCCTGGGGTGGAAAAGGAAATATCTTCTCATGAAAGCTACATGGAAGCATTCTCAGAAGCTGCTTTGTGATGATTGCTTTCAAGTCACCGAGCTGAACATTCCCTTTGATGGAGCCGTTTGGAAACACACTTTCGGTAGAATCTGAAAGGGGAGATTTGGACCGCTTTGAGGCCTATGGCAGTAGAGGATAAAACTGCACATAAAAACGAGACAGTAGCATTCCCAGGAAACACTTTGTGACGATTGAGTTCAACTCACAGAGCTGAACATTCCTTTGGTTGGAGCAGTTTCCAAACACACTTTGTGTAGAATCTGCAAGTGGAGATTTGGACCGCTCTGAGGATTTCCCTGGATACGGGAGAAAACTCACCTACGTAAACAGAGGCATTCTCAGAACCTTCTTCGTGATGCTTGCATTCAATTCACAGTGTTGAACCTTTCTCTGACAGTTCAGGTTTGAAACACTCCTTCTGCAGAATCTGCAAGTGGAGATTTGGACCTCTTTGAGGCCTATCGTAGTAAAGGAAAGAACTTCATCTGAAAACAAGACAGAAGCATTCTCAGACAATTCTTTGCGATGATTGAGTTTAACTCACAGAGCTGAGCATATCTTTTGATGGCGCATTTTCAAGACACACCTTTTGTAGAATATGCAAGTGGATTTTGGGACTTCTCTGAGAATTTCGTTGGAAACGGGATAAACCTCACATAACTGAAGAGGAACATTCTCAGAAGTTCTTGGTGACGTTGGCATTCAACTGACAGAGTTGAACCTTCCCTTGTGAGTTCAGGTTGAAACGCTCTTTTCGTAGTATCTGCAAGTGGAGGTTTGGAACGCTTTGAGGCCTACGGTAGTAAAGGAAACAGCTTCATGTAAAAACTGGACAGAAGCATTCTCAGGAAATACTTTGGGATGATTGAGTTCAACTCACAGAGCTGAACATTCCTTTGGGTGGAGCAGTTTTGAAACACACTTTTTGTAGACTCTGCTGGTGGATATTTGGACCTCTCTAAGGATTTCGTTGGAAACGGGATAACGTCACCTAACTAAACAGAAGCTTTCGCAGAAACATCCTTCGACGTTGGCATTCAAAGTCCAGAGTTGAGCCTTCCTTTGGTAGTTCACGTTTGAAACACTCTTTTTGGAGGACCTGCAAGTGGATATTGGGAGCACTTTGTGGCCTTCGTTCGAAACGGCCATATCTTCACATAAAATCTAGACAGAAGCCTTCTCAGAAACTTCTCTGTGATGATTGCATACAACTCACAGAGTTGAACATTCCTTTTGATAGAGCACTTTTGAAATTCTCTAGTTTTGCTAGCATCTGCAAATGGATAGGTGGAACTCTGTGAAGACTTCTTTGGAAACGGGAATATCGTCACGTAAAAAGTAAACAGAAGCATTCTCAGAAACTCCTTTGTGTGGCTTGTGTTCAACTCCCAGAGTATAACATTGCTTTTCATAGAGCAGTTTTGAAACATTCTTTTCGTAGAGCCTCCAAGTGGACATTTGGAGCGCTTTCAGGCCTGTGGTGGAAAAGGAAATATCTTCACATAAAAACTAGAGAGAAGCATTCTCAGAAACTTCTTGGTGATGATTGCATTCAACTCACGGAGCTGAGGATTCCTTTTGATGCAGCAGTTTGGAAACACTCTTTCGTTGGAATCTGCAAGCGGATATGAGGACCTCTTTGAACATTCCGATGGAAAAGGGATAATCTTCCCGTAAAAGCTAAACGGAAGCATGCTCAGGAACTTCCTTGTGATGTTTGCATTCAACTCACAGCGTTGTACTTTCCTTTTGATAGAGCAGCTTTGAAACCCCCTCTTTCTAGCATCTGTAAGGGGACATTTGGAGGGCTTCGAGGCCTGGGGTGGAAAAGGAAATATCTTCTCATCAAAGCTACATGGAAGCATTCTCAGAAGCTGCTTCGTGATGATTGCTTTCAAGTCACCGAGCTGAACATTCCCTTTGATGGAGCCGTTGGGAAACACAATTTTGGTAGAATCCTAAAGGGGATATTTGGACAGCTTTGAGGCCTATGGCAGTAGAGGATATAACTGCACATAAAAACGAGACAGTAGCATTCCCAGGAAACACTTTGTGACGATTGAGTTCAACTCACAGAGCTGAACATTCCTTTGGATGGAGCAGTTTCCAAACACACTTTGTGTAGAATCTGCAAGTGGAGATTCGGACCGCTCTGAGGATTTCGTTGGATACGGGAGAGAACTCACCTACGTAAACGGAAGCATTCTCAGTAACCTTCTTCGTGATGCTTGCATTCAACTCACAGTGTTGAACCTTTCTCTGACAGTTCAGGTTTGAAACACTCCTTCTGTAGAATCTGCAAGTGGAGATTTGGACCTCTTTGAGGCCTATCGTAGTAAAGGAAAGAACTTCATCTAAAAACAAGACGGAAGCATTCTCAGAAAATTCTTTGCGATGATTGAGTTTAACTCACAGAGCTGAGCATATCTTTTGATGGCGCATTTTCCAAACACACCTTTTGTGGAATATGCAAGTGGATTTTGGGACTTCTCTGAGAATTTCGTGGGAAACGGGATAAACCTCACATAACTGAAGAGGAACATTCTCAGAAGTTCTTGGTGATGTTGGCATTCAACTGACAGAGTTGAACCTTCCCTTGTGAGTTCAGGTTGAAACGCTCTTTTTGTAGTATCTGCAAGTGGAGGTTTGGAACGCTTTGAGGCCTACGGTAGTAAAGGAAACAGCTTCATGTAAAAACTGGACAGAAGCATTCTCAGAAAATACTTTGGGATGATTGAGTTCAACTCACAGAGCTGAACATTCCTTTGGGTGGAGCAGATTTGAAACAAACTGTTTGTAGACTCTGCAGGTGGATATTTGGACCTCTCTGAGGATTTCACTGGAAACGGGATAACGTCGCCTAAGAAAACAGAAGCTTTCGCAGAAACATCCTTCTGACGTTGGCATTCAAAGTCCAGAGTTGAGCCTTCCTTTGGTAGTTCACGTTTGAAACACTCTTTTTGGAGGACCTGCAAGTGGATATTGGGAGCGCTTTGTGGCCTTCGTTCGAAACGGCCGTATCTTCACATAAAATCTAGACAGAAGCCTTCTCAGAAACTTCTCTGTGATGATTGCATGCAACTCACAGAGTTGAAAATTCCTTTTGATGGAGCAGTTTTGAAACTCTCTTTTGCTAGCATCTGCAAATGTATAAGTGGAACTCTGTGAAGACTTCTTTGGAAACGGGAATATCCTCACGTAAAAAGTAAACAGAAGCATTCTCAGAAACTCCTTTGTGAGGCTTGTGTTCAACTCCCAGAGTATAACATTGCTTTTCATAGGGCAGTTTTGAAACATTCTTTTCGTAGAGCCTCCAAGTGAACATTTGGAGCGCTTTCAGGCCTGCGGTGGAAAAGGAAATATCTTCACATAAAAACTAGAGAGAAACATTGTCAGAAACTTCTTGGTGATGATTGCATTCAACTCACGGAGCTGAGGATTCCTTTGGATGCAGCAGTTTGGAAACACTCTTTCGGTGGAATCTGCAAGCGGATATGTGGACCTCTTTGAACATTTTGATGGAAAAGGGATAATCTTCCCGTAAAAGCTAAACGGAAGCATGCTCAGGAACTTCCCTTGTGATGTTTGCATTCAACTCACAGAGTTGTACTTTCCTTTTGATAGAGCAGCTTTGAAACCCCCTCTTTCTAGCATCTGCAAGGGGACATTTGGAGGGCTTCGAGGCCTGGGGTGGAAAAGGAAATATCTTCTCATCAAAGCTACATGGAAGCATTCTCAGAAGCTGCTTTGTGATGATTGCATTCAAGTCACCGAGTTGAACATCCCCTTTGATGGGGCCATTTGGAAACACACTTTTGGTAGAATCTGAAAGGGGAGATATCGACAGCTTTGAGGCCTATGGCAGTAGAGGATATAACTGCACATAAAAGCGAGACAGGAGCATTCCCAGGAAACGCTTTGTGACGATTGAGTTCAACTCACAGAGCTGAACATTCCTTTGGGTGGAGCAGTTTCCAAACACACCTTGTGTAGAATCTGCAAGTGGAGATTTGGACCGCTCTGAGGGTTTCGTTGGATACGGGAGAAAAGTCACATACGTAAACAGAAGCATTCTCAGAACCTTCTTCGTGATGCTTGCATTCAACTCACAGTGTTGAACCTTTCTCTGACAGTTCAGGTTTGAAACACTCCTTCTGCAGAATCTGCAAGTGGAGATTTGGACCTCCTTGAGGCCTATCGTAGTAAAGGAAAGAACTTCATCTAAAAACAAGACGGAAGCATTCTCAGAAAATTCTTTGCGATGACTGAGTTTAACTCACAGAGCTGAGCATATCTTTTGATTGCGCATTTTCAAGACACACCTTTTGTAGAATATGCAAGTGGATTTTGGGACTTCTCTGAGAATTTCGTTGGAATCGGGATAAACCTCACATAACTGAAGAGGAACATTCTCAGAACTTCTTGGTGACGTTGGCATTCAACTGACAGAGTTGAACCTTCCCTTGTGAGTTCAGGTTGAAACGCTCTTTTCGTAGTATCTGCAAGTGGAGGTTTGGAACGCTTTGAGGCCTACGGTAGTAAAGGAAACAGCTTCATGTAAAAACTGGACAGA
>NC_000001.11:122224635-122229967 GCF_000001405.40 Homo sapiens
AGCATTCTCAGAAACTCCTTTGTGAGGCTTGTGTTCAACTCCCAGAGTATAACATTGCTTTTCATAGAGCAGTTTTGAAACATTCTTTTCGTAGAGTCTCCAAGTGGACATTTGGAGCGCTTTCAGGCCTGTGGTGGAAAAGGAAATATCTTCACATAAAAACTAGAGAGAAGCATTGTCAGAAACTTCTTTGTGATGATTGCATTCAACTCACGGAGTTGAAGATTCCTTTTGATACAGCAGTTTGGAGACACTCTTTCGGTGGAATCTGCAAGGGGATATGTGGACCTCTTTGAACATTTCGATGGAAAAGGGATAATCTTCCCATGAAAGCTAAACGGAAGCATGCTCAGGAACTTCTTTGTGATGTTTGCATTCAACTCACAGAGTTGTACTTTCCTTTTGATAGAGCAGCTTTGAAACCCTCTCTTTCTAGCATCTGCAAGGGGACATTTGGAGGGCTTCGAGGCCTGGGGTGGAAAAGGAAATATCTGCTCATTAAAGCTACATGGAAGCATTCTCAGAAACTGCTTTGTGATGATTGCATTCAAGTCACAGAGTTGAACATTCCCTTTGATAGAGCCATTTGGAAACACACTTTTGGTAGAATCTGAAAGGGGAGATTTGGACCGCTTTGAGGCCTATGGCAGCAGAGGATATAACTGCCCATAAAAACTAGACAGTAGCATTCCCAAGAAACACTTTGTGACGATTGAGTTCAACTCACAGAGCTGAACATTCCTTTGGATGGAGCAGTTTCAAAACACACTTTCTGTAGAATCTGCAAGTGGATATTTGGACCTCTCTGAGGATTTCGTTGGATACGGGAGAAAATTCACTTATCTAAACAGAAGCATTCTCAGAACCTTCTTCGTGATGCTTGCATTCAACTCACAGTGTTGAACCTTTCTCTGATAGTTCAGGTTTGAAACACTCCTTCTGCAGAATCTGCAAGTGGAGATTTGGACCTCTTTGAGGCCTATCGTCGTAAAGGAAATAACTTCATCCTAAAACAAGACAGAAAGCATTCTCAGAAAATTCTTTGCAATGATTGAGTTTACGTCACAGAGCTGAGCATATCTTCTGATGGAGCATGTTCAAAACACACTTTTTGTAGAATATGCAAGTGGATATTTGGACTTCTCTGAGAATTTCTTTGGAAACGGGATAAACCTCACATAACTGAAGAGAAACATTCCCAGAACTTCTTTGTGATGTTGGCATTCAACTGACAGAGTTGAACCTTCCCTTGTGAGTTCAGGTTGAAACGCCCTTTTCGTAGTATCTGCAAGTGGAGATTTGGAACGCTTTGAGGCCTACGGTAGTAAAGGAAACAGCTTCATGTAAAACTGGACAGAAGCATTCTCAGAAAATACTTTGGGATGATTGAGTTCAACTCACAGAGCTGAACATTCCTTTGGGTGGAGCAGATTTGAAACAAACTTTTTGTAGACTCTGCAGGTGGATATTTGGACCTCTCTGAGGATTTCACTGGAAACGGGATAACGTCGCCTAAGAAAACAGAAGCTTTCGCAGAAACATCTTTCTGACGTTGGCATTCAAAGTCCAGAGTTGAGCCTTCCTTTGGTAGTTCACGTTTGAAACACTCTTTTCGGAGGACCTGCAAGTGGATATTTGGAGCACTTTGTGGCCTTCGTTCGAAACGGCTATATCTTCACGTAAAATCTAGACAGAAGCCTTCTCAGAAACTTCACTGTGATGACTGCATTCAACTCAAAGAGTTGAACATTCCTTTTGATAGAGCAGTTTTGAAACTCTCTTTTTCTAGCATCTACAAATGGATAGGTGGAACTCTGTGAAGATTTCTTAGGAAACGGGAATATCTTCACGTAAAAAGTAAACAGAAGCATTCTCAGAAAGTCCTTTGTGAGGCTTGTGTTCAACTCCCAGAGTATAACATTGCTTTTCATAGAGCAGTTTTGAAACATTCTTTTCGTAGAGTCTCCAAGTGGACATTTGGAGCGCTTTCAGGCCTGTGGTGGAAAAGGAAATATCTTCACATAAAAACTAGAGAGAAGCATTGTCAGAAACTTCTTTGTGATGATTGCATTCAACTCACGGAGCTGAGGATTCCTTTTGATACAGCAGTTTGGAAAGACTCTTTCTGTGGAATCTGCAGGCGGATATGTGGACCTCTTTGAACATTTCGATGGAAAAGGGATAATCTTCCCATAAAAGCTAAACGGAAGCATGCTCAGGAACTTCTTTGTGATGTTTGCATTCAACTCACAGAGTTGTACTTTCCTTTTGATAGAGCAGCTTTGAAACCCTCTCTTTCTAGCATCTGCAAGGGGACATTTGGAGGGCTTCGAGGCCTGGGGTGGAAAAGGAAATATCTTCTCCTAAAAGCTACATGGAAGCATTCTCAGAAACTGCTTTGTGATGATTGCATTCAAGTCACAGAGTTGAACATTCCCTTTGATAGAGCCGTTTGGAAACACACTTTTGGTAGAATCTGAAAGGGGAGATTTGGACCGCTTTGAGGCCTATGGCAGCAGAGGATGTAACTGCCCATAAAAACTAGACAGTTAGCATTCTCAGGAAACAATTTGTGACGATTGAGTTCAACTCACAGAGCTGAACATTCCTTTGGATGGAGCAGTTTCAAAACACACTTTTTGTAGAATCTGCAAGTGGATATTTGGACCTCTCTGAGGATTTCGTTGGAAACGGGAGAAACCTCACCTATCTAAACAGAAGCATTCTCAGAACCTTCTTCGTGATGCTTGCATTCAACTCACAGTGTTGAACCTTTCTCTGATAGTTCAGGTTTGAAACACTCCTTCTGCAGAATCTGCAAGTGGAGATTTGGACCTCTTTGAGGCCTATCGTCGTAAAGGAAATAACTTCATCCTAAAACAAGACAGAAGCATTCTCAGAAAATTCTTTGTGATGATTGAGTTTAACTCACAGAGCTGAGCATATCTTTTGATGGAGCACTTTCAAAACACACTTTTTGTAGAATATGCAAGTGGATATTTGTACTTCTCTGAGAATTTCGTTGGAAACGGGATAAAACTCACGTAACTGAAGAGAAGCATTGTCAGGAACTTCTTCGTGATGTTGGCATTCAACTCACAGAGTTGAACCGTCCCTTGTGAGTTCAAGTTGAAACACTCTTTTCGTAGTATCTGCAAGTGGAGATTTGGAACGCTTTGTGGCCTACGGTAGTAAAGGAAATAGCTTCGAGTAAAAACTGGACAGAAGCATTCTCAGAAAATACTTTGTGATGATTGAGTTTAACTCACAGAGCTGAACATTCCTTTGGGTGGAGCAGTTTGGAAACACACTTTTTGCAGAATCTGCAGGTGGATATTTGGACCTCTCTGAGGATTTCTTTGGAAACGGGATAACGTCACCCAACTAAACAGAAGCTTTCGCAGAAACATCTTTCTGACGTTTGCATTCAAAGTCCAGAGTTGAACCTTCCTTTGATAGTTCACGTTTGAAACACTCTTGTTGGAGGACCTGCAAGTGGATATTTGGAGCACTTTGTTGCCTTTGTTCGAAACGGGTATATCTTCACATAAAATCTAGCCAGAAGCCTTCTCAGAAACTTCTCTGTGATGACTGCATTCAACTCACAGAGTTGAACATTCCTTTTGATAGAGCAGTTTTGAAACTCTCTTTTTCTAGCATCTGCAAATGGATAGGTGGAACTCTGTGAAGATTTCTTTGGAAACGGGAATATCTTCACGTAAAAAGTAAACAGAAGCATTCTCAGAAACTCCTTTGTGAGGCTTGTGTTCAACTCCCAGAGTATAACATTGCTTTTCATAGAGCAGTTTTGAAACATTCTTTTCGTAGAGTCTCCAAGTGGACATTTGGAGCGCTTTCAGGCCTGTGGTGGAAAAGGAAATATCTTCACATAAAAACTAGAGAGAAGCATTGTCAGAAACTTCTTTGTGATGATTGCATTCAACTCACGGAGTTGACGATTCCTTTTGATACAGCAGTTTGGAGACACTCTTTCGGTGGAATCTGCAAGCGGATATTTGGACCTCTTTGAACATTTCGATGGAAAAGGGATAATCTTCCCATGAAAGCTAAACGGAAGCATGCTCAGGAACTTCTTTGTGATGTTTGCATTCAACTCACAGAGTTGTACTTTCCTTTTGATAGAGCAGCTTTGAAACCCTCTCTTTCTAGCATCTGCAAGGGGACATTTGGAGGGCTTCGAGGCCTGGGGTGGAAAAGGAAATATCTGCTCATAAAAGCTACATGGAAGCATTCTCAGAAACTGCTTTGTGATGATTGCATTCAAGTCACAGAGTTGAACATTCCCTTTGATAGAGCCGTTTGGAAACACACTTTTGGTAGAATCTGAAAGGGGAGATTTGGACCGCTTTGAGGCCTATGGCAGCAGAGGATATAACTGCCCATAAAAACTAGACAATAGCATTCCCAAGAAACACTTTGTGACGATTGAGTTCAACTCACAGAGCTCAACATTCCTTTGGATGGAGCAGTTTCAAAACACACTTTCTGTAGAATCTGCAAGTGGATATTTGGACCTCTCTGAGGATTTCGTTGGATACGGGAGAAAATTCACTTATCTAAACAGAAGCATTCTTAGAACCTTCTTCGTGATGCTTGCATTCAACTCACATTGTTGAACCTTTCTCGGATAGTTCAGGTTTGAAAAACTCCTTCTGCAGAATCTGCAAGTGGAGATTTGGACCTCTTTGAGGCCTATCGTAGTAAAGGAAATAACTTCATCCTAAAACAAGACAGATAAATCATGCTGCTATAAAGACACATGCACACGTATGTTTATTGCGGCACTATTCACAATAGCAAAGACTTGGAACCAACCCAAATGTCCAACAATGATAGAATGGATTAAGAAAATGTGGCACATATACACCACGGAATACTATGCAGCCATAAAAAATGATGAGTTCATATCCTTTGTAGGGACATGGATGAAATTGGAAACCATCATTCTCAGTAAACTATTGCAAGAACAAAAAACAAAACACCGCATATTCTCACTCATAGGTGGGAATTGAACAATGAGATCACATGGAAACAGGAAGGGGAATATCACACTCTGGGGACTGTGGTGGGGTCGGGGGAGGTGGGAGGGATAGCACTGGGAGATATACCTAATGCTAGATGACACATTAGTGGGTGCAGTGCACCAGCATGGCACATGTATACATATGTAACTGACCTGCACAATGTGCACATGTACCCTAAAACTTAGAGTATAATAAAAAAAAAAGAAAAAAAAAATGCTCCATCAAAAGATATGCTCAGCTCTGTGAGTTAAACTCAATCATCACAAAGAAATTTCTGAGAATGCTTC
>NC_000001.11:122230067-122237366 GCF_000001405.40 Homo sapiens
AGCATTGTCAGGAACTTCTTCATGATGTTGGCATTCAACTCACAGAGTTGCACCGTCCCTTGTGAGTTCAGGTTGAAACACTCTTTTCGTAGTATCTGCAAGTGGAGATTTGGAACGCTTTGTGGCCTACGGTAGTAAAGGAAATAGCTTCGAGTAAAAACTGGACAGAAGCATTCTCAGAAAATACTTTGTGATGATTGAGTTTAACTCACAGAGCTGAACATGCCTTTGGGTGCAGCAGTTTGGAAACACACTTTTTGCAGAATCTGCAGGTGGATATTTGGACCTCTCTGAGGATTTCGTTGGAAACGGGATAACGTCACCTAACTAAACAGAAGCTTTCGCAGAAACTTCTTTGGGACGTTTGCATTCAAAGTCCAGAGTTGAACCTTCCTTCGATAGCTCACGTTTGAAACTCTCTTTTTGTAGGATCTGCAAGTGGATATTTGGAGCACTATGTGGCCTTCGTTCGAAACGGGTATATCTTCACTTAAAATCCAGACAGAAGCCTTCTCAGAAACTTCTCTGTGATGACTGCATTCAACTCACAGAGTTGAACATTCCTTTTGATAGAGCAGTTTTGAAACTCTCTTTTTCTAGCATCTGCAAATGGATAGGTGGAACTCTGTGAAGATTTCTTTGGAAACGGGAATATCTTCACGTAAAAAGTAAACAGAAGCATTCTCAGAAACTCCTTTGTGAGGCTTGTGTTCAACTCCCAGAGTATAACATTGCTTTTCATAGAGCAGTTTTGAAACATTCTTTTCGTAGAGTCTCCAAGTGGACATTTGGAGCGCTTTCAGGCCTGTGGTGGAAAAGGAAATATCTTCACATAAAAACTAGAGAGAAGCATTGTCAGAAACTTCTTTGTGATGATTGCATTCAACTCACGGAGTTGAAGATTCCTTTTGATACAGCAGTTTGGAAACACTCTTTCGGTGGAATCTGCAAGCGGATATGTGGACCTCTTTGAACATTTCGATGGAAAAGGGATAATCTTCCCATAAAAGCTAAACGGAAGCATGCTCAGGAACTTCTTTGTGATGTTTGCATTCATCTCACAGAGTTGTACTTTCCTTTTGATAGAGCAGCTTTGAAACCCTCTCTTTCTAGCATCTGCAAGGGGACATTTGGAGGGCTTCGAGGCCTGGGGTGGAAAAGGAAATATCTGCTCCTAAATGCTACATGGAAGCATTCTCAGAAACTGCTTTGTGATGATTGCATTCAAGTCACAGAGTTGAACATTCCCTTTGATAGAGCCGTTTGGAAACACACTTTTGGTAGAATCTGAAAGGGGAGATTTGGACCGCTTTGAGGCCTATGGCAGCAGAGGATATAACTGCACATAAAAACTAGACAGTAGCATTCCTAGGAAACACTTTGTGACGACTGAGTTCAACTCACAGAGCTGAACATTCCTTTGGATGGAGCAGTTTCAAAACACACTTTCTGTAGAATCTGCAAGTGGATATTTGGACCTCTCTGAGGATTTCGTTGGATACGGGAGAAAACTCACCTATCTAAACAGAAGCATTCTCAGAACCTTCTTCGTGATGCTTGCATTCAACTCACAGTGTTGAACCTTTCTCTGATAGTTCAGGTTTGAAACACTTCTTCTGCAGAATCTGCAAGTGGAGATTTGGACCTCTTTGAGGCCTATCGTCGTAAAGGAAATAACTTCATCCTAAAACAAGACAGAAGCATTCTCAGAAAATTCTTTGTGATGATTGAGTTTAACTCACAGAGCTGAGCATATCTTTTGATGGAGCACTTTCAAAACACACTTTTTGTAGAATATGCAAGTGGATATTTGTACTTCTCTGAGAATTTCGTTGGAAACGGGATAAAACTCACATAACTGAAGAGAAACATTCCCAGAACTTCTTTGTGATGTTGGCATTCAACTGACAGAGTTGAACCTTCCCTTGTGAGTTCAGGTTGAAACGCTCTTTTCGTAGTATCTGCAAGTGGAGATTTGGAACGCTTTGAGGCCTACGGTAGTAAAGGAAACAGCTTCATGTAAAAACTGGACAGAAGCATTCTCAGAAAATACTTTGTGATGATTGAGTTTAACTCACAGAGCTGAACATGCCTTTGGGTGGAGCAGTTTGGAAACACACTTTTTGCAGAATCTGCAGGTGGATATTTGGACCTCTCTGAGGATTTCGTTGGAAACGGGATAACGTCACCTAACTAAACGGAAGCTTTCGCAGAAACATCTTTCTGACGTTTGCATTCAAAGTCCAGAGTTGAACCTTCCTTTGATAGTTCACGTTTGAAACACTCTTGTTGGAGGACCTGCAAGTGGATATTTGGAGCACTTTGTGGCCTTCGTTCGAAACGGGTATATCTTCACATAAAATCTAGACAGAAGCCTTCTCAGAAACTTCTCTGTGATGACTGCATTCAACTCACAGAGTTGAACATTCCTTTTGATAGAGCAGTTTTGATACTCTCTTTTTCTAGCATCTGCAAATGGATAGGTGGAAGTCTGTGAAGATTTCTTTGGAAACGGGAATATCTTCACGTAAAAAGTAAACAGAAGCATTCTCAGAAACTCCTTTGTGAGGCTTGTGTTCAACTCCCAGAGTATAACATTGCTTTTCATAGAGCAGTTTTGAAACATTCTTTTCGTAGAGTCTCCAAGTGGACATTTGGAGCGCTTTCAGGCCTGTGGTGGAAAAGGAAATATCTTCACATAAAAACTAGAGAGAAGCGTTGTCAGAAACTTCTTTGTGATGATTGCATTCAACTCACGGAGTTGAAGATTCCTTTTGATACAGCAGTTTGGAAACGCTCTTTCGGTGGAATCTGCAAGCGGATATGTGGACCTCTTTGAACATTTCGATGGAAAAGGGATAATCTTCCCATAAAAGCTAAACGGAAGCATGCTCTGGAACTTCTTTGTGATGTTTGCATTCAACTCACAGAGTTGTACTTTCCTTTTGATAGAGCAGCTTTGAAACCCTCTCTTTCTAGCATCTGCAAGGGGACATTTGGAGGGCTTCGAGGCCTGGGGTGGAAAAGGAAATATCTGCTCATAAAAGCTACATGGAAGCATTCTCAGAAACTGCTTTGTGATGATTGCATTCAAGTCACAGAGTTGAACATTCCCTTTGATAGAGCCGTTTGGAAACACACTTTTGGTAGAATCTGAAAGGGGAGATTTGGACCGCTTTGAGGCCTATGGCAGCAGAGGATATAACTGCCCATAAAAACTAGACAGTAAGCATTCCCAGGAAACACTTTGTGACGATTGAGTTCAACTCACAGAGCTGAACATTCCTTTGGATGGAGCAGTTTCAAAATACACTTTCGGTAGAATCTGCAAGTGGATATTTGGACCTCTCTGAGGATTTCGTTGGATACGGGAGAAAACTCACCTATCTAAACAGAAGCATTCTCAGAACCTTCTTCGTGATGCTTGCATTCAACTCACAGTGTTGAACCTTTCTCTGATAGTTCAGGTTTGAAACACTCCTTCTGCAGAATCTGCAAGTGGAGATTTGGACCTCTTTGAGGCCTATCGTCGTAAAGGAAATAACTTCATCCTAAAACAAGACAGAAGCATTCTCAGAAAATTCTTTGTGATGATTGAGTTTAACTCACAGAGCTGAGCATATCTTTTGATGGAGCACTTTCAAAACACACTTTGTGTAGAATATGCAAGTGGATATTTGTACTTCTCTGAGAATTTCGTTGGAAACGGGATAAAACTCACATAACTGAAGAGAAACCTTCTCAGAACTTCTTTGTGATGTTGACATTCAACTGACAGAGGTGAACCTTCCCTTGTGAGTTCAGGTTGAAACGCTCTTTTCGTAGCATCTGCAAGTGGAGATTTGGAACGCTTTGAGGCCTACGGTAGTAAAGGAAACAGCTTCATGTAAAAACTGGACAGAAGCATTCTCAGAAAATACTTTGTGATGATTGAGTTTAACTCACAGAGCTGAACATGCCTTTGGGTGCAGCAGTTTGGAAACACACTTTTTGCAGAATCTGCAGGTGGATATTTGGACCTCTCTGAGGATTTCGTTGGAAACGGGATAACGTCACCTAACTAAACAGAAGCTTTCGCAGAAACATCTTTCTGACGTTTGCATTCAAAGTCCAGAGTTGAACCTTCCTTTGATAGTTCACGTTTGAAACACTCTTGTTGGAGGACCTGCAAGTGGATATTTGGAGCACTTTGTGGCCTTCGTTCGAAACGGGTATATCTTCACATAAAATCTAGACAGAAGCCTTCTCAGAAACTTCTCTGTGATGACTGCATTCAACTCACAGAGTTGAACATTCCTTTTGATAGAGCAGTTTTGAAACTCTCTTTTTCTAGCATCTGCAAATGGATAGGTGGAAGTCTGTGAAGATTTCTTTGGAAACGGGAATATCTTCACGTAAAAAGTAAACAGAAGCATTCTCAGAAACTCCTTTGTGAGGCTTGTGTTCAACTCCCAGAGTATAACATTGCTTTTCATAGAGCAGTTTTGAAACATTCTTTTCGTAGAGTCTCCAAGTGGACATTTGGAGAGCTTTCAGGCCTGTGGTGGAAAAGGAAATATCTTCACATAAAAACTAGAGAGAAGCATTGTCAGAAACTTCTTTGTGATGATTGCATTCAACTCACGGAGTTGAAGATTCCTTTCGATACAGCAGTTTGGAAACCCTCTTTCGGTGGAATCTGCAAGCGGATATGTGGACCTCTTTGAATATTTCGATTGAAAAGGGATAATCTTCCCATAAAAGCTAAACGGAAGTATTCTCAGAAACTTCTTTGTGGTGTTTGCATTCAACTCACAGAGTTGTACTTTCTTTTTGATAGAGCAGCCTTGAAACCCTCTCTTTCTAGAATCTGCAAATGGACATTTGGAGGGCTTCGAGGCCTGTGGTGGGAAAGGAAATATCTTCTCATAAAAGCTAGATGGAAGCATTCTCAGAAACTACTTTTTTGATGATTGCATTCAAGTCACAGAGTTGAACATTCCCTTTGATAGAGCCGTTTGGAAACACACTTTTGGTAGAATCTGAAAGGGGAGATTTGGACCGCTTTCAGGCCTACGGCAGCAGAGCAAATAACTACATATAAAAACAAGACAGTAGCATTCCCAGGAAACACTTTGTGACGATTGAGTTCAACTCACAGAGCTGAACATTCCTTTGGATGGAGCAGTTTCAAAACACACTTTCTGTAGAATCTGCAAGTGGATATTTGGACCTCTCTGAGGATTTCGTTGGATACGGGAGAAAACTCACCTATCTAAACAGAAGCATTCTCAGAACCTTCTTCGTGATGCTTGCATTCAACTCACAGTGTTGAACCTTTCTCTGATAGTTCAGGTTTGAAACACTCCTTCTGCAGAATCTGCAAGTGGAGATTTGGACCTCTTTGAGGCCTATCGTCGTAAAGGAAATAACTTCATCCTAAAACAAGACAGAAGCATTCTCAGAAAATTCTTTGTGATGATTGAGTTTAACTCACAGAGCTGAGCATATCTTTTGATGGAGCACTTTCAAAACACACTTTATGTAGAATATGCAAGTGGATATTTGTACTTCTCTGAGAATTTCGTTGGAAACGGGATAAAACTCACATAACTGAAGAGAAGCATTGTCAGGAACTGCTTCGTGATGTTGGCATTCAACTCACAGAGTTGAACCGTCCCTTGTGAGTTCAGGTTGAAACACTCTTTTCGTAGTATCTGCAAGTGGAGATTTGGAACGCTTTGTGGCCTACGGTAGTAAAGGAAATAGCTTCGAGTAAAAACTGGACAGAAGCATTCTCAGAAAATACTTTGTGATGATTGAGTGTAACTCACAGGGCTGAACATTCCTTTGGATGGAGCAGTTTTGAAACACACTTTTTGTAGCATCTGCAAGTGGATATTTGGACCTCTCTGAGGATTTCGTTGGAAACGGGATAACGTCACCTAACTAAACAGAAGCTTTCGCAGAAACATCTTTCTGACGTTTGCATTCAAAGTCCATAGTTGAACCTTCCTTTGATAGTTCACGTTTGAAACACTCTTGTTGGAGGACCTGCAAGTGGATATTTGGAGCACTTTGTGGCGTTTGTTCGAAACGGCTATATCTTCACATAAAATCTAGACAGAAGCCTTCTCAGAAACTTCTCTGTGATGACTGCATTCAACTCACAGAGTTGAACATTCCTTTTGATAGAGCAGTTTTGAAACTCTCTTTTTCTAGCATCTGCAAATGGATAGGTGGAAGTCTGTGAAGATTTCTTTGGAAACGGGAATATCTTCACGTAAAAAGTAAACAGAAGCATTCTCAGAAACTCCTTTGTGAGGCTTGTGTTCAACTCCCAGAGTATAACATTGCTTTTCATAGAGCAGTTTTGAAACATTCTTTTCGTAGAGTCTCCAAGTGGACATTTGGAGCGCTTTCAGGCCTGTGGTGGAAAAGGAAATATCTTCATATAAAAACTAGAGAGAAGCGTTGTCAGAAACTTCTTTGTGATGATTGCATTCAACTCACGGAGTTGAAGATTCCTTTTGATACAGCAGTTTGGAAACACTCTTTCGGTGGAATCTGCAAGCGGATATGTGTACCTCTTTGAACATTTCGATGGAAAAGGGATAATCTTCCCATAAAAGCTAAACGGAAGCATGCTCAGGAGCTTCTTTGTGATGTTTGCATTCAACTCACAGAGTTGTACTTTCCTTTTGATAGAGCAGCTTTGAAACCCTCTCTTTCTAGCATCTGCAAGGGGACATTTGGAGGGCTTCGAGGCCTGGGGTGGAAAAGGAAATATCTGCTCATTAAAGCTACATGGAAGCATTATCAGAAACTGCTTTGTGATGATTGCATTCAAGTCACAGAGTTGAACATTCCCTTTGATAGAGCCGTTTGGAAACACACTTTTGGTAGAATCTGAAAGGGGAGATTTGGACCGCTTTGAGGCCTATGGCAGCAGAGGATATAACTGCCCATAAAACTAGACAGTAGCATTCCCAGGAAACACTTTGTGACTATTGAGTTCAACTCACAGAGCTGAACATTCCTTTGGATGGAGCAGTTTCAAAACACACTTTCTGTAGAATCTGCAAGTGGATATTTGGACCTCTCTGAGGATTTCGTTGGATACGGGAGAAAACTCACTTGTCTAAAAAGAAGCATTCTCAGAACCTTCTTCGTGATGCTTGCATTCAACTCACAGTGTTGAACCTTTCTCTGATAGTTCCGGTTTGAAACACTCCTTCTGCAGAATCTGCAAGTGGAGATTTGGACCTCTTTGAGGCCTATCGTCGTAAAGGAAATAACTTCATCCTAAAACAAGACAGA
>NC_000001.11:124785532-124849129 GCF_000001405.40 Homo sapiens
TGCTTTCTCAGAAACTTCTTTGTGAGGCATGTGTTCAACTCCCAGACTTTAACCTTGCTTTTCATAGAGCAGTTTTGAAACATTCTTTTCGTAGAGTCTCCAAGTGGACGTTTGGAGCGCTTTCAGGCCTGTGGTGGAAAAGGAAATGTCTTCACCTCAAAACTAGAGAGAAGCATTGTCAGAAACGTCTTTGTGATGATGGCATTCAACTCACGGAGTTGAAGGTTCCTTTTGATACAGCAGTTCAGAAACACTCTTTCACTGGGACCTGCAAGCGGATATTTGGGGCTCTTTGGAGATTTCGATGGAAAAGGGATAATCTTCCCATAAAAGCTAAACGGAAGCGTGCTCAGAGCCTTCTTGGTGATGTTTGCATTCAACTCACAGAGTTGTACTTTCCTTTCGACAGAGCAGCTTTGAAACCCTCTCTTTCTAGAATCTGCAAGTGGACATTTGGTGGGCTTCGAGGCCTGTGGTGGAAAAGGAACTATCTACTCATAAAAGCTAGATGGAAGCATTCTCAGAAACTACTTTGTGATGATTGCTTTCAGGTCACAGAGTTGAACATTCCCTTTGATAGAGCTGTTTGGAGACACACTTTTGGTAGAATCGGCAAGGGGAGATTTGGACCGCTTTGAGGCCTATGGCAGTAGAGGAAATCACTGCCCATAAAAACTAGACAGCAGCATTCTCAGGAAACACTTTGTGACGATTGAGTTCAACCCACAGAGCTGAACATTGTTTTGGATGGAGCAGTTTCGAAACACACTTTTTGTAGAATCTGCAAGTGGGTGTTTGGACTTCTCTGAGGATTTCCTTGGAAACGGGATAAACCTCACAGAACTAAACAGGAGCATTCTCAGAAACTTCTTCGTGATGTTGGCATTCAACTCACGGGGTTGAACATTCCCTTGTGAGTTCAAGTTGAAACACTCTTTTCGTAGTATCTGCAAGTGGAGATTTGGAACGCTTTGAGGCCTACTGTAGTAAAGGAAATAGCTTCGTGTAAAAACTGGACAGAAGCATTCGCAGAAAATACTTTGGGATGATTGAGTTGAACTCACAGAGCGGAACATTCTTTTGGATGGAGCAGTTTTGAAACACACTTTTTGTAGAATCTGCAAGTGGACAGTTGGACCACCCTGAGGATTTCTTTGGAAACGGGATAACGTCACCTAACTAAACAGAAGCTTTCGCAGAAACTTCTTTGTGACGTTTGCATTCAAAGTCCAGAGTTGTACCTTCCCTTGATAGTTCACGTTGGAAACACTCTTTTTGTAGGATCTGCAAGTGGATATTGGGAGCACTTTGTGGCCTTCGTTCGAAATGGGTATATCTTCACATAAAATCCAGACAGAAGCCTTCTCAGAAACTTCTCTGTGATGATTGCATGCAACTCACAGAGTTGAACATTCCTTTGGATAGAGCAGTTTCGAAACTCTCTTTTTTCTGGAATCTGCACATGGATAGGTGGAACTCTGTGAAGATTTCCTTGGAAACGGGAATATCTTCACTTAAAGAGTAAACGGATGCCTT
Source organism: Homo sapiens (assembly GCF_000001405.40). Lineage (NCBI taxonomy): Eukaryota > Metazoa > Chordata > Mammalia > Primates > Hominidae > Homo > Homo sapiens. The sequence goes on from NC_000001.11 coordinate 124,787,069, forward strand.
CTCAGAAACTTCTTTGTGAGGCATATGTTCAACTCCCAGACTTTAACCTTGCTTTTCACAGAGCAGTTTTGAAACATTCTTTTCGTAGAGTCTCCAAGTGGACGTTTGGAGCGCTTTCAGGCCTGTGGTGGAAAAGGAAATATCTTCACCTCAAAACTAGAGAGAAGCATTGTCAGAAACGTCTTTGTGATTATGGCATTCAACTCACGGAGTTCAAGGTTCCTTTTGATACAGCAGTTTGGAAACACTCTTTCAGTGGGACCTGCAAGCGGATATTTGGACCTCTTTGGAGATTTCGATGGAAAAGGGATAATCTTCCCATAAAAGCTAAACGGAAGCGTGCTCAGAGCCTTCTTGGTGATGTTTGCATTCAACTCACAGAGTTGTACTTTCCTTTCGACAGAGCAGCTTTGAAACCCTCTCTTTCTAGAATCTGCAAGTGGACATTTGGAGGGCTTCGAGGCCTGTGGTGGAAAAGGAACTATCTACTCATAAAAGCTAGATGGAAGCATTCTCAGAAACTACTTTGTGATGATTGCTTTCAGGTCACAGAGTTGAACATTCCCTTTGATAGAGCCGTTTGGAGACACACTTTTGGTTCAATCGGCAAGGGGAGATTTGGACCGCTTTGAGGCCTATGGCAGTAGAGGAAATCACTGCCCATAAAAACTAGACAGCAGCATTCTCAGGAAACACTTTGTGACGATTGAGTTCAACCCACAGAGCTGAACATTGTTTTGGATGGAGCAGTTTCGAAACACACTTTTTGTAGAATCTGCAAGTGGGTGTTTGGGCTTCTCTGAGGATTTCGTTGGAAACGGGATAAACCTCACAGAACTAAACAGAAGCATTCTCAGAAACTTCTTCGTGATGTTGGCATTCAACTCACGGGGGTGAACATTCCCTTGTGATTTCAAGTTGAATCACTCTTTTCGTAGTATCTGCAAGTGGAGATTTGGAACGCTTTGAGGCCTGCGGTAGTAAAGGAAATAGCTTCTTGTAAAAACTGGACAGAAGCATTCGCAGAAAATACTTTGGGATGATTGAGTTGAACTCACAGAGCGGAACATTCCTTTGGATGGAGCAGTTTTGAAACACACTTTTTGTAGAATCTGCAAGTGGACAGTTGGACCTCCCTGAGGATTTCTTTGGAAACGGGATAACGTCACCTAACTAAACAGAAGCTTTCGCAGAAACTTCTTTGTGACGTTTGCATTCAAAGTCCAGAGTTGAACCTTCCCTTGATAGTTCACGTTGGAAACACTCTTTTTGTAGGATCTGCAAGTGGATATTGGGAGCACTTTGTGGCCTTCGTTCGAAATGGGTATATCTTCACATAAAATCCAGACAGAAGCCTTCTCAGAAACTTCTCTGTGATGATTGCATGCAACTCACAGAGTTGAACATTCCTTTGGATAGAGCAGTTTCGAAACTCTCTTTTTTCTGGAATCTGCACATGGATAGGTGGAACTCTGTGAAGATTTCCTTGGAAACGGGAATATCTTCACTTAAAGAGTAAACGGATGCCTTCTCAGAAACTTCTTTGTGAGGCATGTGTTCAACTCCCAGACTTTAACCATGCTTTTCATAGAGCAGTTTTGAAACATTCTTTTCGTAGAGTCTCCAAGTGGACGTTTGGAGCGCTTTCAGGCCTGTGGTGGAAAAGGAAATATCTTCACCTCAAAACTAGAGAGAAGCATTGTCAGAAACGTCTTTGTGATGATGGCATTCAACTCACGGAGTTGAAGGTTCCTTTTAATACAGCAGTTTGGGAACACTCTTTCAGTGGGACCTGCAAGCGGATATTTGGGGCTCTTTGGAGATTTCGATGGAAAAGGGATAATCTTCCCATAAAAGCTAAACGGAAGCGTGCTCAGAGCCTTCTTGGTGATGTTTGCATTCAACTCACAGAGTTGTACTTTCCTTTCAACAGAGCAGCTTTGAAACCCTCTCTTTCTAGAATCTGCAAGTGGACATTTGGTGGGCTTCGAGGCCTGTGGTGGAAAAGGAACTATCTACTCATAAAAGCTAGATGGAAGCATTCTCAGAAACTACTTTGTGATGATTGCTTTCAGGTCACAGAGCTGAACATTCCCTTTGATAGAGCCGTTTGGAAACACACTTTTGGTAGAATCGGCAAGGGGAGATTTGGACCGCTTTGAAGCCTATGGCAGTAGATTAAAACACTGCCCATAAAAACTAGACAGCAGCATTCTCAGGAAACACTTTGTGACGATTGAGTTCAACCCACAGAGCTGAACATTGTTTTGGATGGAGAAGTTTCGAAACACACTTTTTGTAGAATCTGCAAGTGGGTGTTTGGATTTCTCTGTGGATTTCGTTGGAAACGGGATAAACCTCACAGAACTAAACAGAAGCATTGTCAGGAACTTCTTCGTGATGTTGGCATTCAACTCACAGAGTTGAACCGTCCCTTGTGAGTTCAGGTTGAAACACTCTTTTCGTAGTATCTGCAAGTGGAGATTTGGAACGCTTTGTGGCCTACGGTAGTAAAGGAAATAGCTTCGAGTAAAAACTGGACAGAAGCATTCTCAGAGAATACTTTGGGATGATTGAGTTGAACTCACAGAGCGGAACATTCCTTTGGATGGAGCAGTTTTGAAACACACTTTTTGTAGAATCTGCAAGTGGACAGTTGCACCTCCTTGAGGATTTCGTTGGAAACGGGATAACGTCACCTAACTAAACAGAAGCTTTCGCAGAAACTTCTCTGTGACGTTTGCATTCAAAGTCCAGAGTTGAACCTTCCCTTGATAGTTCACGTTGGAAACACTCTTTTTGTAGGATCTGCAAGTGGATATTGGGAGCACTTTGTGGCCTTCGTTCGAAATGGGTATATCTTCACATAAAATCCAGACAGAAGCCTTCTCAGAAACTTCTCTGTGATGATTGCATGCGACTCACAGAGTTGAACATTCCTTTGGATAGAGCAGTTTCGAAACTCTCTTTTTTCTGGAATCTGCACATGGATAGGTGGAACTCTGTGAAGATTTCCTTGGAAACGGGAATATCTTCACTTAAAGAGTAAACGGATGCTTTCTCAGAAACTTCTTTGTGAGGCATGTGTTCAACTCCCAGACTTTAACCTTGCTTTTCATAGAGCAGTTTTGAAACATTCTTTTTGTAGAGTCTCCAAGTGGACGTTTGGAGCGCTTTCAGGCCTGTGGTGGAAAAGGAAATGTCTTCACCTCAAAACTAGAGAGAAACATTGTCAGAAACGTCTTTGTGATGATGGCATTCAACTCACGGAGTTGAAGGTTCCTTTTGATACAGCAGTTTGGAAACACTCTTTCAGTGGGACCTGCAAGCAGATATTTGGACCTCTTTGGAGATTTCGATGGAAAAGGGATAATCTTCCCATAAAAGCTAAACGGAAGCATGCTCAGAGACTTCTTTGTGATGTTTGCATTCAACTCACAGAGTTATACTTTCCTTTCCATAGAGCAGCTTTGAAACCCTCTCTTTCTAGAATCTGTAAGTGGACATTTGGAGGGCTTCGAGGCCTGTGGTGGAAAAGGAAATATCTACTCATAAAAGGTAGATGGAAGCATTCTCAGAAACTACTTTGTGATGATTACTTCCAGGTCATAGAGTTGAACATTCCCTTTGATAGAGCCGTTTGGAAACACACTTTTGGTAGAATCGGTAAGGGGAGATTTGGACCGCTTTGAGGCCTATGGCAGTAGAGGAAATCACTGCCCATAAAAAATAGACAGCAGCATTCTCAGCAAACACTTTGTGACGATTGAGTTCAACCCACAGAGCTGAACATTGTTTTGGATGGAGCAGTTTCGAAACACACTTTTTGTAGAATCTGCGAGTGGGTGTTTGGACTTCTCTGAGGATTTCGTTGGAAACCGGATAAACCTCACAGAACTAAACAGAAGCATTCTCAGAAACTTCTTCGTGATGTTGGCATTCAACTCACGGGGTTGAACATTCCCTTGTGAGTTCAAGTTGAAACACTCTTTTCGTAGTATCTGAAAATGGAGAATCGCAACGCTTTGAGGCCTACGGTAGTAACGGAAATAGCTTCGTGTAAAAACTGGACAGAAGCATTCTCAGAAAATACTTTGGGATGATTGAGTTGAACTCACAGAGCGGAACATTTCTTTGGATGGAGCAGTTTTGAAACACACTTTTTGTAGAATCTCCAAGTGGACAGTTGGACCTCCCTGAGGATTTCGTTGGAAACGGGATAACGTCACCTAACTGAACAGAAGCTTTCGCAGAAACTTCTTTGTGACGTTTGCATTCAAAGTCCAGAGTTGAACCTTCCTTTGATAGTTCACGTTTGAAACACTCTTTTTGTAGGATCTGCAAGTGGATATTGGGAGCACTTTGTGGCCTTCATTCGACATGGGTATATCTTCACAGAAAATCCAGACAGAAGCCTTCTCAGAAACTTCTCTGTGATGATTGCGTGCAACTCACAGAGTTGAACATTCCTTTGGATAGAGCAGTTTCGAAACTCTCTTTTTTCTAGAATCTGCACATGGATAGGTGGAACTCTGTGAAGATTTCCTTAGAAACGGGAATATCTTCACTTAAAGAGTAAACAGATGCCTTCTCTGAAACTTCTTTTTGAGGCATTTGTTCAACTCCCAGAATTTAACCTTGCTTTTCTTAGGGCAGTTTTGAAACATTCTTTTCGTAGAGTATCCAAGTGGACGTTTGGAGCGCTTTCAGGCCTGTGGTGGAAAAGGAAATATCTTCAGCTAAAAACTAGAGAGACGCATTGTCAGAAACTTCTCCTTTGTGATGACTGCATTCAACTCACGGAGTGGAAGGCTCCTTTTGATACAGCAGCTTGGAAACACTCTTTCAGAGGGACCTGCAAGCGGATACTTGGACCTCTTTGAAGATTTCGATGGAAAAGGGATAATCTTCCCATAAAAGCTAAATGGAAGCGTGCTCAGAGCCTTCTTGGTGATGTTTGCATTCTACTCACAGAGTTGTAATTTCCTTTCGATAGAGCAGCTTTGAAACCCTCTCTTTCTAGAATCTGCAAGTGGACATTTGGAGGGCTTCGAGGCCTGTGGTGGAAAAGGAAATATCTACTCATAAAACCTAGACGGAAGCATTCTCAGAAACTACTTTGTGATGATTGCTTTCAGGTCACAGAGCTGAACATTCCCTTTGATAGAGCCGTTTGGAAACACACTTTTGGTAGAATCGGCAAGGGGAGATTTGGACCGCTTTGAAGCCTATGGCAGTAGATTAAAACACTGCCCATAAAAACTAGACAGCAGCATTCTCAGGAAACACTTTGTGACGATTGAGTTCAACCCACAGAGCTGAACATTGTTTTGGATGGAGCAGTTTCGAAACACACTTTTTGTAGAATCTGCCAGTGGGTGTTTGGATTTCTCTGTGGATTTCGTTGGAAACGGGATAAAACTCACAGAACTAAACAGAAGCATTCTCAGAAACTTCTTCGTGATGTTGGCATTCAACTCAAGGGGTTGAACATTCCCTTGTGAGTTCAAGTTGAAACACTCTTTTCGTAGTATCTGCAAGTGGAGATTTGGAACGCTTTGAGGCCTACGGAAGTAACGGAAATAGCTTCGTGTAAAAACTGGACAGAAGCATTCGCAGAAAATACTTTGGGATGATTGAGTTGAACTCACAGAGCGGAATATTCCTTTGGATGGAGCAGTTTTGAAACACACTTTTTGTAGAATCTGCAAGTGGACAGTTGGACCTCCCTGAGGATTTCGTTGGAAACGGGATAACGTCACCTAACTAAACAGAAGCTTTTGCAGAATCTTCTTTGTGACGTTCGCATTCAAAGTCCAGATTTGAAACTTCCTTTGACAGTTCACGGTTGAAACACTCTTTTTGTAGGATCTGCAAGTGGATATTGGGAGCACTTTGTGGCCTTCGTTCGAAATGGGTATATCTTCACATAAAATCCAGACAGAAGCCTTCTCAGAAACTTCTCTGTGATGATTGCATGCAACTCACAGAGTTGAACATTCCTTTGGGTAGAGCAGTTTCGAAACTCTCTTTTTTCTGGAATCTGCACATGGATAGGTGGAACTCTGTGAAGATTTCCTTGGAAACGGGAATATCTTCACTTAAAGAGTAAACAGATGCCTTCTCAGAAACTTCTTTGTGAGGCATGTGTTCAACTCCCAGAATTTAACTTTGCTTTTCATAGGGCAGTTTTGAAACATTCTTTTCGTAGAGTCTCCAAGTGGACGTTTGGAGCGCTTTCAGGCCTGTGGTGGAAAAGGAAATGTCTTCACCTAAAAACTAGAGAGAGGCATTGTCAGAAACGTCTTTGTGATGATGGCATTCAACTCCCGGAGTTGAAGGTTCCTTTTGATACAGCAGTTTGGAAACACTCTTTCAGTGGGATCTGCAAGTGGATATTTGGACCTCTTTGGAGATTTCGATGGAAAAGGGATAATCTTCCCATAAAAGCTAAACGGAAGCGTGCTCAGAGCCTTCTTGGTGATGTTTGCATTCAACTCACAGAGTTGTACTTTCCTTTCGACAGAGCAGCTTTGAAACCCTCTCTTTCTAGAATCTGCAAGTGGACATTTGGAGGGCTTCGAGGCCTGTGGTGGAAAAGGAACTATCTACTCATAAAAGCTAGATGGAAGCATTCTCCGAAACTACATTTTGATGATTCCTTTCAAGTCACAGAGTTGAACATTCCCTTTGGTAGAGCCGTTTGGAAACACACTTTTGGTAGAATCTGCAAGGGGAGATTTGGACCACTTTGAAGCCTATGGCAGTAGAGGAAATCACTGCCCATAAAAACTAGACAGTAGCATTCTCAGGAAACACTTTGTGACGATTGAGTTCAACTCACAGAGCTGAACATTCCTTTGGATGGAGCAGTTTCGAAACACACTTTTTGTAGGATCTGCAAGTAGATATTTGGACTTCTCTAAGGATTTCGTTGGAAACGGGATAAACCTCACCTAACTAAACAGAAGCATTGTCAGGAACTTCTTCGTGATGTTGGCATTCAACTTAGAGAGTTGAACCGTCCCTTGTGAGTTCAGGTTGAAACACTCTTTTCGTAGTATCTGCAAGTGGAGATTTGGAACGCTTTGTGGCCTACGGTAGTAAAGGAAATAGCTTCGAGTAAAAACTGGACAGAAGCATTCGCAGAAAATACTTTGGGATGATTGAGTTGAACTCACAGAGCGGAACATTCTTTTGGATGGAGCAGTTTTGAAACACACTTTTTGTAGAATCTGCAAGTGGACAGTTGGACCTCCCTGAGGATTTCTTTGGAAACGGGATAACGTCACCTAACTAAACAGAAGCTTTTGCAGAATCTTCTTTGTGACGTTTGCATTCAAAGTCCAGAGTAGAAACTCCCTTTGACAGTTCACGTTTGAAACACTCTTTTTGTAGGATCTGCAAGTGGATATTGGGAGTACTTTGTGGCCTTCGTTCGAAATGGGTATATCTTAACATAAAATCCAGACAGAAGGCTTCTCAGAAACTTCTCTGTGATGATTGCATGCAACTCACAGAGTTGAACATTCCTTTGGATAGAGCAGTTTCGAAACTCTCTTTTTCCTAGAATCTGCACATGGATAGGTGGAACTCTGTGAAGATTTCCTTGGAAACGGGAATATCTTCACTTAAAGAGTAAACAGATGCCTTCTCAGAAACTTCTTTGTGAGTCATGTGTTCAACTCCCAGAATTTAACCTTGCTTTTCATAGAGCAGTTTTGAAACATTCTTTTCGTAGAGTCTCCAAGTGGACGTTTGGAGCGCTTTCAGGCCTGTGGTGGAAAAGGAAATATCTTCACCTAAAAACTAGAGAGAAGCATTGTCAGAAACGTCTTTGTGATGATGGCATTCAACTCACGGAGTTGAAGGTTCCTTTTGATACAGCAGTTCGGAAACACTCTTTCAGTGGGACCTGCAAGCGGATATTTGGGGCTCTTTGGAGATTTCGATGGAAAAGGGATAATCTTCCCATAAAAGCTAAACGGAAGCGTGCTCAGAGCCTTCTTGGTGATGTTTGCATTCAACTCACAGAGTTGTACTTTCCTTTCGACAGAGCAGCTTTGAAACCCTCTCTTTCTAGAATCTGCAAGTGGACATTTGGTGGGCTTCGAGGCCTGTGGTGGAAAAGGAACTATCTACTCATAAAAGCTAGATGGAAGCATTCTCAGAAACTACTTTGTGATGATTGCTTTCAGGTCACAGAGTTGAACATTCCCTTTGATAGAGCTGTTTGGAGACACACTTTTGGTAGAATCGGCAAGGGGAGATTTGGACCGCTTTGAGGCCTATGGCAGTAGAGGAAATCACTGCCCATAAAAACTAGACAGCAGCATTCTCAGGAAACACTTTGTGACGATTGAGTTCAACCCACAGAGCTGAACATTGTTTTGGATGGAGCAGTTTCGAAACACACTTTTTGTAGAATCTGCAAGTGGGTGTTTGGGCTTCTCTGAGGATTTCGTTGGAAACGGGATAAACCTCACAGAACTAAACAGAAGCGTTCTCAGAAACTTCTTCATGATGTTGGCATTCAACTCACGGGGTTGAACATTCCCTTGTGAGTTCAAGTTGAAACACTCTTCTCGTAGTATCTGCAAGTGGAGATTTGGAACGCTTTGAGGCCTACGGTAGTAAAGGAAATAGCTTCGTGTAAAAACTGGACAGAAGCATTCGCAGAAAATACTTTGTGATGATTGAGTTGAACTCACAGAGCGGAACATTCCTTTGGATGGAGCAGTTTTGAAACACACTTTTTGTAGAATCTGCAAGTGGATAGTTGGACCTCCCTGAGGATTTCGTTGGAAACGGGATAACGTCACCTAACTAAACAGAAGCTTTCGCAGAAACTTCTTTGGGACGTTTGCATTCAAAGTCCAGAGTTGAACCTTCCTTCGATAGCTCACGTTTGAAACACTCTTTTTGTAGGATCTGCTAGTGGATATTTGGAGCACTTTGTGTCCTTCGTTCGAAACGGGTATATCTTCACATAAAATCCAGACAGAAGCCTTCTCAGAAACTTCTCTGTGATGATTGCATGCAACTCACAGAGTTGAACATTCCTTTGCATAGAGCAGTTTCGAAACTCTCTTTTTTCTGGAATCTGCACATGGATAGGTGGAACTCTGTGAAGATTTCCTTGGAAACGGGAATATCTTCACTTAAAGAGTAAACGGATGCCTTCTCAGAAACTTCTTTGTGAGGCATATGTTCAACTCCCAGACTTTAACCTTGCTTTTCACAGAGCAGTTTTGAAACATTCTTTTCGTAGAGTCTCCAAGTGGACGTTTGGAGCGCTTTCAGGCCTGTGGTGGAAAAGGAAATATCTTCACCTCAAAACTAGAGAGAGAAGCATTGTCAGAAACGTCTTTGTGATTATGGCATTCAACTCACGGAGTTCAAGGTTCCTTTTGATACAGCAGTTTGGAAACACTCTTTCAGTGGGACCTGCAAGCGGATATTTGGACCTCTTTGGAGATTTCGATGGAAAAGGGATAATCTTCCCATAAAAGCTAAACGGAAGCATGCTCAGAGACTACTTTGTGATGTTTGCATTCAACTCCCAGAGTTGTACTTTCCTTTTGATAGAGCAGCTTTGAAACCCTCTCTTTCTAGAATCTGCAAGTGGACATTTGGAGGGCTTCGAGGCCTGTGGTGGAAAAGGAAATATCTACTCATAAAAGCTAGATGGAATCATTCTCAGAAACTACATTGTGATGATTGCTTTCAGGTCACAGAGTTGAACATTCCCTTTGATAGAGCCGTTTGGAAACACACTTTTGGTAGAATCGGCAAGGGGAGATTTGGACCGCTTTGAGGCCTATGGCAGTATAGGAAATCACTGCCCATAAAAACTAGACAGCAGCATTCTCAGGAAACACTTTGTGACGATTGAGTTCAACCCACAGAGCTGAACATTGTTTTGGATGGAGCAGTTTCGAAACACACTTTTTGTAGAATCTGCAAGTGGGTGTTTGGATTTCTCTGTGGATTTCGTTGGAAACGGGATAAACCTCACAGAACTAAACAGAAGCATTCTCAGAAACTTCTTCGTGATGTTGGCATTCAACTCACGGGGTTGAACATTCCCTTGTGAGTTCAAGTTGAAACACTCTTTTCGTAGTATCTGCAAGTGGAGATTTGGAACGCTTTGAGGCCTACGGTAGTAAAGGAAATAGCTTCTTGTAAAAACTGGACAGAAGCATTCGCAGAAAATACTTTGGGATGATTGAGTTGAACTCACAGAGCGGAACATTCCTTTGGATGGAGCAGTTTTGAAACACACTTTTTGTTGAATCTGCAAGTGGACAGTTGGACCTCCCTGAGGATTTCGTTGGAAACGGGATAACGTCACCTAACTAAACAGAAGCTTTCGCAGAAACTTCTTTGTGACGTTTGCATTCAAAGTCCAGATTTGAAACTTCCTTTGACAGTTCACGGTTGAAACACTCTTTTTGTAGGATCTGCAAGTGGATATTGGGAGCACTATGTGGCCTTCGTTCGAAATGGTTATATCTTCACATAAAATCCAGACAGAAGCCTTCTCAGAAACTTCTCTGTGATGATTGCATGCAACTCACATAGATGAACATTCCTTTGGGTAGAGCAGTTTCGAAACTCTCTTTTTTCTGGAATCTGCACATGGATAGGTGGAACTCTGTGAAGATTTCCTTGGAAACGGTAATATCTTCACTTAAAGAGTAAACGGATGCCTTCTCAGAAACTTCTTTGTGAGGCATGTGTTCAACTCCCAGACTTCAACCTTGCTTTTCATAGAGCAGTTTTGAAACATTCTTTTCGTAGAGTCTCCAAGTGGACGTTTGGAGCGCTTTCAGGCCTGTGGTGGAAAAGGAAATATCTTCACCTCAAAACCAGAGAGAAGCATTGTCAGAAACGTCTTTGTGATGATGGCATTCAACTCACGGAGTTGAAGGTTCCTTTTGATACAGCAGTTTGGAAACACTCTTTCAGTGGGACCTGCAAGCGGATATTTGGACCTCCTTGGAGATTTCGATGGAAAAGGGATAATCTTCCCATAAAAGCTAAACGGAAGCGTGCTCAGAGCCTTCTTGGTGATGTTTGCATTCTACTCACAGAGTTCTAATTTCCTTTCGATAGAGCAGCTTTGAAACCCTCTCTTTCTAGAATCTGTAAGTGGACATTTGGAGGGCTTCGAGGCCTGTGGTGGAAAAGGAAATATCTACTCATAAAACCTAGATGGAAGCATTCTCAGAAACTACTTTGTGATGATTGCTTTCAGGTCACAGAGTTGAACATTCCCTTTGATAGAGCCGTTTGGAAACACACTTTTGGTAGAATCGGCAAGGGGAGATTTGGACCGCTTTGAGGCCTATGGCAGTAGAGGAAATCACTGCCCATAAAAACTAGACAGCAGCATTCTCAGGAAACACTTTGTGACGATTGAGTTCAACCCACAGAGCTGAACATTGTTTTGGATGGAGAAGTTTCGAAACACACTTTTTGTAGAATCTGCAAGTGGGTGTTTGGATTTCTCTGTGGATTTCGTTGGAAACGGGATAAACCTCACAGAACTAAACAGAAGCATTGTCAGGAACTTCTTCGTGATGTTGGCATTCAACTCACAGAGTTGAACCGTCCCTTGTGAGTTCAAGTTGAAACACTCTTTTCGTAGTATCTGCAAGTGGAGATTTGGAACGCTTTGTGGCCTACGGTAGTAAAGGAAATAGCTTCGAGTAAAAACTGGACAGAAGCATTCTCAGAAAATACTTTGTGATGATTGAGTGTAACTCACAGAGCTGAACATTCCTTTGGATGGAGCAGTTTTGAAACACACTTTTTGTAGCATCTGCAAGTGGATATTTGGACCTCTCTGAGGATTTCGTTGGAAACGGGATAACGTCACCTAACTAAACAGAAGCTTTCGCAGAAACTTCTTTGTGACGTTTGCATTCAAAGTCCAGAGTTGAACCTTCCTTTGATAGTTCACGTTTGAAACACTCTTTTTGTAGGATCTGCAAGTGGATATTGGGAGCACTTTGTGGCCTTCATTCGACATGGGTATATCTTCACAGAAAATCCAGACAGAAGCCTTCTCAGAAACTTCTCTGTGATGATTGCATGCAACTCACAGAGTTGAACATTCCTTTGGATAGAGCAGTTTCGAAACTCTCTTTTTTCTGGAATCTGCACATGGATAGGTGGAACTCTGTGAAGATTTCCTTGGAAACGGGAATATCTTCACTTAAAGAGTAAACGGATGCCTTCTCAGAAACTTCTTTGTGAGGCATGTGTTCAACTCCCAGAATTTAACCTTGCTTTTCATAGGGCAGTTTTGAAACATTCTTTTCGTAGAGTCTCCAAGTGGACGTTTGGAGCGCTTTCAGGCCTGTGGTGGAAAAGGAAATATCTTCACCTCAAAACTAGAGAGAAGCATTGTCAGAAACGTCTTTGTGATGATGGCATTCAACTCACGGAGGTGAAGGTTCCTTTTGATACAGCAGTTCGGAAACACTCTTTCAGTGGGACCTGCAAGCGGATATTTGGGGCTCTTTGGAGATTTCGATGGAAAAGGGATAATCTTCCCATAAAAGCTAAACGGAAGCGTGCTCAGAGCCTTCTTGGTGATGTTTGCATTCAACTCACAGAGTTGTACTTTCCTTTCGACAGAGCAGCTTTGAAACCCTCTCTTTCTAGAATCTGCAAGTGGACATTTGGAGGGCTTCGAGGCCTGTGGTGGAAAAGGAACTATCTACTCATAAAAGCTAGATGGAAGCATTCTCAGAAACTACTTTGTGATGATTTTTTTCATGTCACATAGTTGAACATTCCCTTTGATAGAGCCGTTTGGAAACACACTTTTGGTAGAATCGGCAAGGGGAGATTTGGACCGCTTTGAGGTCTATGGCAGTAGAGGAAATCACTGCCCATAAAAACTAGACAGCAGCATTCTCAGGAAACACTTTGTGACGATTGAGTTCAACCCACAGAGCTGAACATTGTTTTGGATGGAGAGGATTCGAAACACACTTTTTGTAGAATCTGCAAGTGGGTGTTTGGACTTCTCTGAGGATTTCGTTGGAAACGGGAGAAACCTCACAGAACTAAACAGAAGCATTCTCAGAAACTTCTTCATGATGTTGGCATTCAACTCACGGGGTTGAACATTCCCTTGTGAGTTCAAGTTGAAACACTCTTTTCGTAGTATCTGCAAGTGGAGATTTGGAACGCTTTGAGGCCTACGGTAGTAAAGGAAATAGCTTCTTTTAAAAACTGGACAGAAGCATTCGTAGAAAATACTTCGAGATGATTGAGTTGAACTCACAGAGCGGAACATTCCTTTGGATGGAGCAGCTTTGAAACACACTTTTTGTAGAATCTGCAAGTGGACAGTTGGACCTCCCTGAGGATTTCGTTGGAAACGGGATAACGTCACCTAACTAAACAGAAGCTTTCGCAGAAACTTCTTTGTGACGTTTGCATTCAAAGTCCAGAGTTGAACCTTCCCTTGATAGTTCACGTTGGAAACACTCTTTTTGTAGGATCTGCAAGTGGATATTGGGAGCACTTTGTGGCCTTCGTTCGAAATGGGTATATCTTCACATAAAATCCAGACAGAAGCCTTCTCAGAAACTTCTCTGTGATGATTGCATGCAACTCACAGAGTTGAACATTCCTTTGCATAGAGCAGTTTCGAAACTCTCTTTTTTCTGGAATCTGCACATGGATAGGTGGAACTCTGTGAAGATTTCCTTGGAAACGGGAATATCTTCACTTAAAGAGTAAACGGATGCCTTCTCAGAAACTTCTTTGTGAGGCATGTGTTCAACTCCCAGACTTTAACCTTGCTTTTCATAGAGTAGTTTTGAAACATTCTTTTCGTAGAGTCTCCAAGTGGACGTTTGGAGTGCTTTCAGGCCTGTGGTGGAAAAGGAAATATCTTCACCTCAAAACCAGAGGGAAGCATTGTCAGAAACGTCTTTGTGATGATGGCATTCAACTCACGGAGTTGAAGGTTCCTTTTGATACAGCAGTTTGGAAACACTCTTTCAGTGGGACCTGCAAGCGGATATTTGGACCTCCTTGGAGATTTCGATGGAAAAGGGATAATCTTCCCATAAAAGCTAAACGGAAGCGTGCTCAGAGCCTTCTTGGTGATGTTTGCATTCTACTCACAGAGTTCTAATTTCCTTTCGATAGAGCAGCTTTGAAACCCTCTCTTTCTAGAATCTGTAAGTGGACATTTGGAGGGCTTCGAGGCCTGTGGTGGAAAAGGAAATATCTACTCATAAAACCTAGATGGAAGCATTCTCAGAAACTACTTTGTGATGATTGCTTTCAGGTCACAGAGTTGAACATTCCCTTTGATAGAGCTGTTTGGAGACACACTTTTGGTAGAATCGGCAAGGGGAGATTTGGACCGCTTTGAGGCCTATGGCAGTAGAGGAAATCACTGCCCATAAAAACTAGACAGCAGCATTCTCAGGAAACACTTTGTGACGATTGAGTTCAACCCACAGAGCTGAACATTGTTTTGGATGGAGCAGTTTCGAAACACACTTTTTGTAGAATCTGCAAGTGGGTGTTTGGACTTCTCTGAGGATTTCGTTGGAAACAGCATAAACCTCACAGAACTAAACAGAAGCATTCTCAGAAACTTCTTCGTGATGTAGGCATTCAACTCACGGGGTTGAACATTCCCTTGTGAGTTCAAGTTGAAACACTCTTTTCGTAGTATCTGCAAGTGGAGATTTGGAACGCTTTGAGGCCTACGGTAGTAAAGGAAATACCTTCGTGTAAAAACTGGACAGAAGCATTCTCAGAAAATACTTTGGGATGATTGAGTTGAACTCACAGAGCGGAACATTCCTTTGGATGGAGCACTTTTGAAACACACTTTTTGTAGAATCTGCAAGTGGACAGTTGGACCTCCCTGAGGATTTCATTGGAAACGGGATAACGTCACCTAACTAAACAGAAGCTTTCACAGAAACTTCTTTGTGACGTTTGCATTCAAAGTCCGGAGTTGAACCTTCCTTTCACAGTTCACGTTTGAAACACTCTTTTTGTAGGTTCTGCAAGTGGATATTGGGAGCACTTTGTGGCCTTCGTTCGACATGGGTATATCTTCACAGAAAATCCAGACAGAAGCCTTCTCAGCAACTTCTCTGTGATGACTGCGTGCAACTCACAGAGTTGAACATTCCTTTGGATAGAGCAGTTTCGAATCTCTCTTTTTTCTAGAATCTGCACATGGATAGGTGGAACTCGGTGAAGATTTCCTTGGAAACGGGAATATCTTCACTTAAAGAGTAAGCAGATGCCTTCTCAGAAACTTCTTTGTGAGGCATGTGTTCAACTCCCAGAATTTAACATTGCTTTTCATAGGGCAGTTTTGAAACATTCTTTTCGTAGAGTCTCCAAGTGGACGTTTGGAGCGCTTTCAGGCCTGTGGTGGAAAAGGAAATATCTTCACCTCAAAACTAGAGAGAAGCATTGTCAGAAACGTCTTTGTGATGATGGCATTCAACTCACGGAGTTGAAGGTTCCTTTTGATACAGCAGTTTGGAAACACCCTTTCAGTGGGACCTGCAAGCTGATATTTGAACTCTTTTGAGATTTCGATGGAAAAGGTATAATCTTTCCATAAAAGCTAAACGGAAGCGTGCTCAGAGCCTTCTTGGCGATGTTTGCATTCAACTCACAGATTTGTACTTTCCTTTCGATAGAGCAGCTTTGAATACCTCTCTTTCGAGAATCTGCAAGTGGATATTTGGAGGGCTTCGAGGCCTGTGGTGGAAAAGGAACTATCTACTCATAAAAGCTAGATGGAAGCATTCTCAGAAACTACTTTGTGATGATTACTTCCAGGTCATAGAGTTGAACATTCCCTTTGATAGAGCCGTTTGGAAACACACTTTTGGTAGAATCGGTAAGGGGAGATTTGGACCGCTTTGAGGCCTATGGCAGTAGAGGAAATCACTGCCCATAAAAAATAGACAGCCAGCATTCTCAGGAAACACTTTGTGACGATTGAGTTCAACCCACAGAGCTGAATATTGTTTTGGATGGAGCAGTTTCGAAACACACTTTTTGTAGAATCTGCCAGTGGGTGTTTGGATTTCTCTGTGGATTTCGTTGGAAACGGGATAAACCTCACAGAACTAAACAGAGCATTCTCAGAAACTTCTTCGTGATGTTGGCATTCAACTCACGGGGTTGAACATTCCCTTGTGAGTTCAAGTTGAAACACTCTTTTCGTAGTATCTGCAAGTGGAGATTTGGAACGCTTTGAGGCCTACTGTAGTAAAGGAAATAGCTTCGTGTAAAAACTGGACAGAAGCATTCGCAGAAAATACTTTGGGATGATTGAGTTCAACTCACAGAGCGGAACATTCCTTTGGATGGAGCCGTTTTGAAACACACTTTTTGTAGAATCTGCAAGTGGACAGTTGGACCTCCCTGAGGATTTCTTTGGAAACGGGATAACGTCACCTAACTAAACAGAAGCTTTCGCAGAAACTTCTTTGTGACGTTTGCATTCAAAGTCCAGAGTTGAACCTTCCCTTGATAGCTCACGTTGGAAACACTCTTTTTGTAGGATCTGCAAGTGGATATTGGGAGCACTTTGTGGCCTTCGTTCGAAATGGGTATATCTTCACATAAAATCCAGACAGAAGCCTTCTCAGAAACTTCTCTGTGATGATTGCATGCAACTCACAGAGTTGAACATTCCTTTGGATAGAGCAGTTTCGAAACTCTCTTTTTTCTGGAATCTGCACATGGATAGGTGGAACTCTGTGAAGATTTCCTTGGAAACGGGAATATCTTCACTTAAAGAGTAAACGGATGCCTTCTCAGAAACTTCTTTGTGAGGCATGTGTTCAACTCCCAGACTTTAACCTTGCTTTTCATAGAGCAGTTTTGAAACATTCTTTTCGTAGAGTCTCCAAGTGGACGTTTGGAGCGCTTTCAGGCCTGTGGTGGAAAAGGAAATATCTTCACCTCAAAACTAGAGAGAAGCATTGTCAGAAACGTCTTTGTGATGATGGCATTCAACTCACGGAGTTGAAGGTTCCTTTTGATACAGCAGTTTGGAAACACTCTTTCAGTGGGACCTGCAAGCGGATATTTGGGGCTCTTTGGAGATTTCGATGGAAAAGGGATAATCTTCCCATAAAAGCTAAACGGAAGCGTGCTCAGAGCCTTCTTGGTGATGTTTGCATTCAACTCACAGAGTTGTACTTTCCTTTCGACAGAGCAGCTTTGAAACCCTCTCTTTCTAGAATCTGCAAGTGGACATTTGGTGGGCTTCGAGGCCTGTGGTGGAAAAGGAACTATCTACTCATAAAAGCTAGATGGAAGCATTCTCAGAAACTACTTTGTGATGATTGCTTTCAGGTCACAGAGTTGAACATTCCCTTTGATAGAGCCGTTTGGAGACACACTTTTGGTAGAATCGGCAAGGGGAGATTTGGACCGCTTTGAGGCCTATGGCAGTAGAGGAAATCACTGCCCATAAAAACTAGACAGCAGCATTCTCAGGAAACACTTTGTGACGATTGAGTTCAACCCACAGAGCTGAACATTGTTTTGGATGGAGCAGTTTCGAAACACACTTTTTGTAGAATCTGCAAGTGGGTGTTTGGACTTCTCTGAGGATTTCCTTGGAAACGGGATAAACCTCACAGAACTAAACAGAAGCATTCTCAGAAACTTCTTCGTGATGTTGGCATTCAACTCACGGGGTTGAACATTCCCTTGTGAGTTCAAGTTGAAACACTCTTTTCGTAGTATCTGCAAGTGGAGATTTGGAACGCTTTGAGGCCTACGGTAGTAAAGGAAATAGCTTCGTGTAAAAACTGAACACAAGCATTCGCAGAAAATACTTTGTGATGATTGAGTTGAACTCACAGAGCGGAACATTCCTTTGGATGGAGCAGTTTTGAAACACACTTTTTGTAGAATCTGCAAGTGGATAGTTGGACCTCCCTGAGGATTTCGTTGGAAACGGGATAACGTCACCTAACTAAACAGAAGCTTTCGCAGAAACTTCTTTGTGACGTTTGCATTCAAAGTCCAGAGTTGAACCTTCCCTTGATAGTTCACGTTGGAAACACTCTTTTTGTAGGATCTGCAAGTGGATATTGGGAGCACTTTGTGGCCTTCGTTCGAAATGGGTATATCTTCACATAAAATCCAGACAGAAGCTTTCTCAGAAACTTCTCTGTGATGATTGCATGCAACTCACAGAGTTGAACATTCCTTTGGATAGAGCAGTTTCGAAACTCTCTTTTTTCTGGAATCTGCACATGGATAGGTGGAACTCTGTGAAGATTTCCTTGGAAACGGGAATATCTTCACTTAAAGAGTAAACGGATGCCTTCTCAGAAACTTCTTTGTGAGGCATGTGTTCAACTCCCAGACTTTAACCTTGCTTTTCATAGAGCAGTTTTGAAACATTCTTTTCGTAGAGTCTCCAAGTGGACGTTTGGAGCGCTTTCAGGCCTGTGGCGGAAAAGGAAATATCTTCACCTCAAAACTAGAGAGAAGCATTGTCAGAAACGTCTTTGTGATTATGGCATTCAACTCACGGAGTTGAAGGTTCCTTTTGATACAGCAGTTTGGAAACACTCTTTCAGTGGGACCTGCAAGCGGATATTTGGAGCTCTTTGGAGATTTCGATGGAAAAGGGATAATCTTCCCATAAAAGCTAAACGGAAGCGTGCTCAGAGCCTTCTTGGTGATGTTTGCATTCAACTCACAGAGTTGTACTTTCCTTTCGACAGAGCAGCTTTGAAACCCTCTCTTTCTAGAATCTGCAAGTGGACATTTGGAGGGCTTCGAGGCCTGTGGTGGAAAAGGAACTATCTACTCATAAAAGCTAGATGGAAGCATTCTCAGAAACTACTTTGTGATGATTGCTCTCAGGTCACAGAGTTGAACATTCCCTTTGATAGAGCCGTTTGGAAACACGCTTTTGGTAGAATCGGCAAGGGGAGGTTTGGACCGCTTTGAGGCCTATGGCAGTAGAGGAAATCACTGCCCATAAAAACTAGACAGCAGCATTCTCAGGAAACACTTTGTGACGATTGAGTTCAACCCACAGAGCTGAACATTGTTTTGGATGGAGCAGTTTCGAAACACACTTTTTGTAGAATCTGCCAGTGGGTGTTTGGATTTCTCTGTGGATTTCGTTGGAAACGGGATAAACCTCACAGAACTAAACAGAAGCATTCTCAGAAACTTCTTCGTGATGTTGGCATTCAACTCACGGGGTTGAACATTCCCTTGTGAGTTCAAGTTGAAACACTCTTTTCGTAGTATCTGCAAGTGGAGATTTGGAATGCTTTGAGGCCTACGGTAGTAAAGGAAATAGCTTCGTGTAAAAACTGGACAGAAGCATTCACAGAAAATACTTTGGGATGATTGAGTTGAACTCACAGAGCGGAACATTCCTTTGGATGGAGCAGTTTTGAAACACACTTTTTGTAGAATCTGTAAGTGGACAGTTGGACCTCCCTGAGGATTTCGTTGGAAACGGGATAACGTCACCTAACTAAACAGAAGCTTTTGCAGAATCTTCTTTGTGACGTTTGCATTCAAAGTCTAGAGTTGAAACTTCCTTTGACAGTTCACGTTTGAAACACTCTTTTTGTAGGATCTGCAAGTGGATATTGGGAGCACTTTGTGGCCTTCGTTCGAAATGGGTATATCTTCACATAAAATCCAGACAGAAGCCTTCTCAGAAACTTCTCTGTGATGATTGCATGCAACTCACAGAGTTGAACATTCCTTTGGATAGAGAAGTTTCGAAACTCTCTTTTTTCTAGAATCTGCACATGGATAGGTGGAACTCTGTGAAGATTTCCTTGGAAACGGGAATATCTTCACTTAAAGAGTAAACAGATGCCTTCTCAGAAACTTCTTTGTGAGGCATGTGTTCAACTCGCAGACTTCAACCTTGCTTTTCATAGAGCAGTTTTGAAACATTCTTTTCGTAGAGTCTCCAAGTGGACGTTTGGAGCGCTTTCAGGCCTGTGGTGGAAAAGGAAATATCTTCACCTCAAAACCAGAGAGAAGCATTGTCAGAGACGTCTTTGTGATGATGGCATTCCACTCACGGAGTTGAGGGTTCCTTTTGATACAGCAGTTTGGAAACACTCTTTCAGTGGGACCTGCAAGCGGATATTTGGAGCTCTTTGGAGATTTCGATGGAAAGGGGATAATCTTCCCATAAAAGCTAAACGGAAGCATGCTCAGAGCCTTCTTGGTGATGTTTGCATTCTACTCACAGAGTTGTAATTTCCTTTCCATAGAGCAGCTTTGAAACCCTCTCTTTCTAGAATCTGCAAGTGGACATTTGGAGGGCTTCGAGGCCTGTGGTGGAAAAGGAAATATCTACTCATAAAACGTAAATGGAAGCATTCTCAGAAACTACTTTGTGATGATTGCTTTCAGGTCACAGAGTTGAACATTCCCTTTGATAGAGCCGTTTGGAAACACACTTTTGGTAGAATCTGCAAGGGGAGATTTGGACCGCTTTGAGGCCTATGGCAGTAGAGGAAATCACTGCCCATAAAAACTAGACAGCAGCATTCTCAGGAAACACTTTGTGACGATTGAGTTCAACCCACAGAGCTGAACATTGCTTTGGATGGAGCAGTTTCGAAAAACACTTTTTTGGAATTTGCAAGTGGGTATTTGGACTTCTCTGAGGATTTCGTTGGAAACGGGATAAACCTCACAGAACTAAACAGAAGCATTCTCAGAAACTTCTTCGTGATGTTGGCATTCAACTCACGGGGTTGAACATTCCCTTGTGAGTTCAAGTTGAAACACTCTTTTCGTAGTATCTGCAAGTGGAGATTTGGAACGCTTTGAGGCCTACGGTAGTAAAGGAAATAGCTTCTTGTAAAAACTGGACAGAAGCATTCGCAGAAAATACTTTGGGATGATTGAGTTGAACTCACAGAGCGGAACATTCCTTTGGATGGAGCAGTTTTGAAACACACTTTTTGTAGAATCTGCAAGTGGACAGTTGCACCTCCCTGAGGATTTCGTTGGAAACGGGATAACGTCACCTAACTAAACAGAAGCTTTCGCAGAAACTTCTTTGTGACGTTTGCATTCAAAGTCCAGAGTTGAACCTTCCCTTGATAGTTCACGTTGGAAACACTCTTTTTGTAGGATCTGCAAGTGGATATTGGGAGCACTTTGTGGCCTTCGTTCGAAATGGGTATATCTTCACATAAAATCCAGACAGAAGCCTTCTCAGAAACTTCTCTGTGATGATTGCATGCGACTCACAGAGTTGAACATTCCTTTGGATAGAGCAGTTTCGAAACTCTCTTTTTTCTGGAATCTGCACATGGATAGGTGGAACTCTGTGAAGATTTCCTTGGAAACGGGAATATCTTCACTTAAAGAGTAAACGGATGCCTTCTCAGAAACTTCTTTGTGAGGCATGTGTTCAACTCCCAGACTTTAACCTTGCTTTTCATAGAGCAGTTTTGAAACATTCTTTTCGTAGAGTCTCCAAGTGGACGTTTGGAGCGCTTTCAGGCCTGTGGCGGAAAAGGAAATATCTTCACCTCAAAACTAGAGAGAAGCATTGTCAGAAACGTCTTTGTGATGATGGCATTCAACTCACGGAGTTGAAGGTTCCTTTTGATACAGCAGTTTGGAAACACTCTTTCAGTGGGACCTGCAAGCGGATATTTGGACCTCCTTGGAGATTTCGATGGAAAAGGGATAATCTTCCCATAAAAGCTAAACGGAAGCGTGCTCATAGCCTTCTTTGTGATGTTTGCATTCAACTCACAGAGTTGTACTTTCCTTTCGATAGAGCAGCTTTGAAACCCTCTCTTTCTAGAATCTGCAAGTGGACATTTAAAGGGCTTCGAGGCCTGTGGTGGAAAAGGAAATATCTACTCATAAAAGCTAGATGGAAGCATTCTCAGAAACTACTTTGTGATGATTGTTTTCAGGTCACAGAGTTGAACATTCCCTTTGATAGAGCCGTTTGGAAACACACTTTTGGCAGAATTGGCAAGGGGAGATTTGGACCGATTTGAGGCCTATGGCAGTAGAGGAAATCACTGCCCATAAAAACTAGACAGCAGCATTCTCAGGAAACACTTTGTGACGATTGAGTTCAACCCACAGCAGCTGAACATTGTTTTGGATGGAGAAGTTTCGAAACACACTTTTTGTAGAATCTGCAAGTGGGTGTTTGGATTTCTCTGTGGATTTCGTTGGAAACGGGATAAACCTCACAGAACTAAACAGAAGCGTTCTCAGAAACTTCTTCGTGATGTTGGCATTCAACTCACGGGGTTGAACATTCCCTTGTGAGTTCAAGTTGAAACACTCTTTTCGTAGTATCTGCAAGTGGAGATTTGGAACGCTTTGAGGCCTACGGTAGTAAAGGAAATAGCTTCGTGTAAAAACTGGACAGAAGCATTCGCAGAAAATACTTTGGGATGATTGAGTTGAACTCACAGAGCGGAACATTCCTTTGGATGGAGCAGTTTTGAAACACACTTTTTGTAGAATCTGCAAGTGGACAGTTGGACCTCCCTGAGGATTTCTTTGGAAACGGGATAACGTCACCTAACTAAACAGAAGCTTTCGCAGAAACTTCTTTGTGACGTTTGCATTCAAAGTCCAGAGTTGAACCTTCCCTTGATAGTTCACGTTGGAAACACTCTTTTTGTAGGATCTGCAAGTGGATATTGGGAGCACTTTGTGGCCTTCGTTCGAAATGGGTATATCTTCACATAAAATCCAGACAGAAGCCTTCTCAGAAACTTCTCTGTGATGATTGCATGCAACTCACAGAGTTGAACATTCCTTTGGATAGAGCAGTTTCGAAACTCTCTTTTTTCTGGAATCTGCACATGGATAGGTGGAACTCTGTGAAGATTTCCTTGGAAACGGGAATATCTTCACTTAAAGAGTAAACGGATGCCTTCTCAGAAACTTCTTTGTGAGGCATGTGTTCAACTCCCAGACTTTAACCTTGCTTTCCATAGAGCAGTTTTGAAACATTCTTTTCGTAGAGTCTCCAAGTGGACGTTTGGAGCGCTTTCAGGCCTGTGGTGGAAAAGGAAATATCTTCACCTCAAAACTAGAGAGAAGCATTGTCAGAAACGTCTTTGTGATGATGGCATTCAACTCACGGAGTTGAAGGTTCCTTTTGATATAGCAGTTTGGAAACACTCTTTCAGTGGGACCTGCAAGCGGATATTTGGACCTCTTTGGAGATTTCGATGGAAGAGGGATAATCTTCCCATAAGAGCTAAACGGAAGCGTGCTCAGAGCCTTCTTGGTGATGTTTGCATTCAACTCACAGAGTTGTACTTTCCTTTCGACAGAGCAGCTTTGAAACCCTCTCTTTCTAGAATCTGCAAGTGGACATTTGGAGGGCTTCGAGGCCTGTGGTGGAAAAGGAACTATCTACTCATAAAAGCTAGATGGAAGCGTTCTCAGAAACTACTTTGTGATGAGTGCTTTCAGGTCACAGAGTTGAACATTCCCTTTGATAGAGCCGTTTGGAAACACACTTTTGGTAAAATTGGCAAGGGGAGATTTGGACCGCTTTGAGGCCTATGACAGTAGAGGAAATCACTGCCCATAAAAACTAGACAGCAGCATTCTCAGGAAACACTTTGTGACGATTGAGTTCAACCCACAGAGCTGAACATTGTTTTGGATGGAGCAGTTTCGAAACACACTTTTTGTAGAATCTGCAAGTGGGTGTTTGGACTTCTCTGAGGATTTCCTTGGAAATGGGATAAACCTCACAGAACTAAACAGAAGCATTCTCAGAAACTTCTTCGTGATGTTGGCATTCAACTCACGGGGTTGAACATTCCCTTGTGAGTTCAAGTTGAAACACTCTTCTCGTAGTATCTGCAAGTGGAGATTTGGAACGCTTTGAGGCCTACGGTAGTAAAGGAAATAGCTTCGTGTAAAAACTGGACAGAAGCATTCGCAGAAAATACTTTGGGATGATTGAGTTGAACTCACAGAGTGGAACATTCCTTTGGATGGAGCAGTTTTGAAACACACTTTTTGTAGAATCTGCAAGTGGACAGTTGGACCTCCCTGAGGATTTCTTTGGAAACGGGATAACGTCACCTAACTAAACAGAAGCTTTCGCAGAAACTTCTCTGTGACGTTTGCATTCAAAGTCCAGAGTTGAACCTTCCCTTGATAGTTCACGTTGGAAACACTCTTTTTGTAGGATCTGCAAGTGGATATTGGGAGCACTTTGTGGCCTTCGTTCGAAATGGGTATATCTTCACATAAAATCCAGACAGAAGCCTTCTCAGAAACTTCTCTGTGATGATTGCATGCAACTCACAGAGTTGAACATTCCTTTGGGTAGAGCAGTTTCGAAACTCTCTTTTTTCTGGAATCTGCACATGGATAGGTGGAACTCTGTGAAGATTTCCTTGGAAACGGGAATATCTTCACTTAAAGAGTAAACGGATGCCTTCTCAGAAACTTCTTTGTGAGGCATGTGTTCAACTCCCAGACTTTAACCTTGCTTTCCATAGAGCAGTTTTGAAACATTCTTTTCGTAGAGTCTCCAAGTGGACGTTTGGAGCGCTTTCAGGCCTGTGGTGGAAAAGGAAATATCTTCACCTCAAAACTAGAGAGAAGCATTGTCAGAAACGTCTTTGTGATGATGGCATTCAACTCACGGAGTTGAAGGTTCCTTTTGATATAGCAGTTTGGAAACACTCTTTCAGTGGGACCTGCAAGCGGATATTTGGACCTCTTTGGAGATTTCGATGGAAGAGGGATAATCTTCCCATAAGAGCTAAACGGAAGCGTGCTCAGAGCCTTCTTGGTGATGTTTGCATTCAACTCACAGAGTTGTACTTTCCTTTCGACAGAGCAGCTTTGAAACCCTCTCTTTCTAGAATCTGCAAGTGGACATTTGGTGGGCTTCGAGGCCTGTGGAGGAAAAGGAACTATCTACTCATAAAAGCTAGATGGAAGCATTCTCAGAAACTACTTTGTGATGATTGCTTTCAGGTCACAGAGTTGAACATTCCCTTTGATAGAGCCGTTTGGAGACACACTTTTGGTAGAATCGGCAATGGGAGATTTGGACCGCTTTGAGGCCTATGGCAGTAGAGGAAATCACTGCCCATAAAAACTAGACAGCAGCATTCTCAGGAAACACTTTGTGACGATTGAGTTCAACCCAGAGAGCTGAACATTGTTTTGGATGGAGCAGTTTCGAAACACACTTTTTGTAGAATCTGCAAGTGGGTGTTTGGACTTCTCTGAGGATTTCCTTGGAAACGGGATAAACCTCACAGAACTAAACAGAAGCGTTCTCAGAAACTTCTTCGTGATGTTGGCATTCAACTCACGGGGTTGAACATTCCCTTGTGAGTTCAAGTTGAAACACTCTTCTCGTAGTATCTGCAAGTGGAGATTTGGAACGCTTTGAGGCCTACGGTAGTAAAGGAAATAGCTTCGTGTAAAAACTGGACAGAAGCATTCGCAGAAAATACTTTGTGATGATTGAGTTGAACTCACAGAGCGGAACATTCCTTTGGATGGAGCAGTTTTGAAACACACTTTTTGTAGAATCTGCAAGTGGACAGTTGGACCTCCCTGAGGATTTCTTTGGAAACGGGATAACGTCACCTAACTAAACAGAAGCTTTCGCAGAAACTTCTTTGTGACGTTTGCATTCAAAGTCCAGAGTTGAACCTTCCCTTGATAGTTCACGTTGGAAACACTCTTTTTGTAGGATCTGCAAGTGGATATTGGGAGCACTTTGTGGCCTTCGTTCGAAATGGGTATATCTTCACATAAAGTCCAGACAGAAGCCTTCTCAGAAACTTCTCTGTGATGATTGCATGCGACTCACAGAGTTGAACATTCCTTTGGATAGAGCAGTTTCGAAACTCTCTTTTTTCTGGAATCTGCACATGGATAGGTGGAACTCTGTGAAGATTTCCTTGGAAACGGGAATATCTTCACTTAAAGAGTAAACGGATGCCTTCTCAGAAACTTCTTTGTGAGGCATATGTTCAACTCCCAGACTTTAACCTTGCTTTTCACAGAGCAGTTTTGAAACATTCTTTTCGTAGAGTCTCCAAGTGGACGTTTGGAGCGCTTTCAGGCCTGTGGTGGAAAAGGAAATATCTTCACCTCAAAACTAGAGAGAAGCATTGTCAGAAACGTCTTTGTGATGATGGCATTCAACTCACGGAGTTGAAGGTTCCTTTTGATACAGCAGTTTGGGAACACTCTTTCAGTGGGACCTGCAAGCGGTTATTTGGACCTCTTTGGAGATTTTGATGGAAAAGAGATAATCTTCCCATAAAAGCTAAACGGAAGCGTGCTCATAGCCTTCTTTGTGATGTTTGCATTCAACTCACAGAGTTGTACTTTCCTTTCGATAGAGCAGCTTTGAAACCCTCTCTTTCTAGAATCTGCAAGTGGACATTTAAAGGGCTTCGAGGCCTGTGGTGGAAAAGGAAATATCTACTCATAAAAGCTAGATGGAAGCATTCTCAGAACCTACTTTGTGATGATTGCTTTCAGGTCACAGAGTTGAACATTCCCTTTGATAGAGCCGTTTGGAAACACACTTTTGGTAGAATCGGCAAGGGGAGATTTGGACCGCTTTGAGGCCTATGGCAGTAGAGGAAATCACTGCCCATAAAAACTAGACAGCAGCATTCTCAGGAAACACTTTGTGACGATTGAGTTCAACCCACAGAGCTGAACATTGTTTTGGATGGAGCAGTTTCGAAACACACTTTTTGTAGAATCTGCAAGTGGGTGTTTGGATTTCTCTGTGGATTTCGTTGGAAACGGGATAAACCTCACAGAACTAAACAGAAGCATTCTCAGAAACTTCTTCGTGAGGTGGGCATTCAACTCACGGGGTTGAACATTCCCTTGTGAGTTCAAGTTGAAACACTCTTTTCATAGTATCTGCAAGTGGAGATTTGGAACTCTTTGAGGCCTACGGTAGTAAAGGAAATAGCTTCGTGTAAAAACTGGACAGAAGCATTCGCAGAAAATACTTTGGGATGATTGAGTTGAACTCACAGAGCGGAACATTCCTTTGGATGGAGCAGTTTTGAAACACACTTTTTGTAGAATCTGCAAGTGGACAGTTGGACCTCCCTGAGGATTTCGTTGGAAACGGGATAACGTCACCTAACTGAACAGAAGCTTTTGCAGAATCTTCTTTGTGACGTTTGCATTCAAAGTCCAGAGTTGAAACTCCCTTTGACAGTTCACGTTTGAAACACCCTTTTTGTAGGACCTGCAAGTGGATATTGGGAGCACTTTGTGGCCTTCGTTCGAAATGGGTATATCTTCACATAAAATCCAGACAGAAGCCTTCTCAGAAACTTCTCTGTGATGATTGCATGCAACTCACAGAGTTGAACATTCCTTTGGATAGAGAAGTTTCGAAACTCTCTTTTTTCTAGAATCTGCACATGGATAGGTGGAACTCTGTGAAGATTTCCTTGGAAACGGGAATATCTTCACTTAAAGAGTAAACAGATGCCTTCTCAGAAACTCCTTTGTGAGGCATGTGTTCAACTCCCAGACTTCAACCTTGCTTTTCATAGAGCAGTTTTGAAACATTCTTTTCGTAGAGTCTCCAAGTGGACGTTTGGAGCGCTTTCAGGCCTGTGGTGGAAAAGGAAATATCTTCACCTCAAAACTAGAGAGAAGCATTGTCAGAAACGTCTTTGTGATGATGGCATTCAACTCACGTAGTTGAAGGTTCCTTTTGATACAGCAGTTTGGAAGCACGCTTTCAGTGGGACCTGCAAGCGGGTATTTGGACCTCTTTGGAGATTTCGATGGAAAAGGGATAATCTTCCCATAAAAGCTAAACGGAAGCGTGCTCAGAGCCTTCTTGGTGATGTTTGCATTCTACTCACAGAGTTGTAATTTCCTTTCGATAGGGCAGCTTTGAAACCCTCTCTTTCTAGAATCTGCAAGAGGACATTTGGAGGGCTTCGAGGCCTGTGGTGGAAAAGGAAATATCTACTCATAAAACCTAGATGGAAGCATTCTCAGAAACTACTTTGTGATGATTGCTTTCAGGTCACAGAGTTGAACATTCCCTTTGATAGAGCCGTTTGGAAACACACTTTTGGTAGAATCTGCAAGGGGAGATTTGGACCGCATTGAGGCCTATGGCAGTAGAGGAAATCATTGCCCATAAAAACTAGACAGCAGCATTCTCAGGAAACACTTTGTGACGATTGAGTTCAACCCACAGAGCTGAACATTGTTTTGGATGGAGAAGTTTCGAAACACACTTTTTGTAGAATCTGCAAGTGGGTGTTTGGATTTCTCTGTGGATTTCGTTGGAAACGGGATAAACCTCACAGAACTAAACAGAAGCATTCTCAGAAACTTCTTCGTGATGTTGGCATTCAACTCACGGGGTTGAACATTGCCTTGTGAGTTCAAGTTGAAACACTCTTTTCGTAGTATCTGCAAGTGGAGATTTGGAACGCTTTGAGGCCTACGGAAGTAAAGGAAATAGCTTCGTGTAAAAACTGGACAGAAGCATTCGCAGTAAATACTTTGGGATGATTGAGTTGAACTCACAGAGCGGAACATTCCTTTGGATGGAGCAGTTTTGAAACACACTTTTTGTAGAATCTGCAAGTGGACAGTTGGACCTCCCTGAGGATTTCGTTGGAAACGGGATAACGTCACCTAACTAAACAGAAGCTTTCGCAGAAACTTCTTTGTGACGTTTGCATTCAAAGTCCAGATTTGAAACTTCCTTTGACAGTTCACGGTTGAAACACTCTTTTTGTAGGATCTGCAAGTGGATATTGGGAGCACTTTGTGGCCTTCGTTCGAAATGGGTATATCTTCACATAAAATCCAGACAGAAGCCTTCTCAGAAACTTCTCTGTGATGATTGCATGCAACTCACAGAGTTGAACATTCCTTTGGGTAGAGCAGTTTCGAAACTCTCTTTTTTCTGGAATCTGCACATGGATAGGTGGAACTCTGTGAAGATTTCCTTGGAAACGGGAATATCTTCACTTAAAGAGTAAACGGATGCCTTCTCAGAAACTTCTTTGTGAGGCATGTGTTCAACTCCCAGACTTTAACCTTGCTTTTCATAGAGCAGTTTTGAAACATTCTTTTCGTAGAGTCTCCAAGTGGACGTTTGGAGCGCTTTCAGGCCTGTGGTGGAAAAGGAAATATCTTCACCTCAAAACTAGAGAGAAGCATTGTCAGAAACGTCTTTGTGATGATGGCATTCAACTCACGGAGTTGAAGGTTCCTTTTGATACAGCAGTTTGGAAACACTCTTTCAGTGGGACCTGCAAGCGGATATTTGGGGCTCTTTGGAGATTTCGATGGAAAAGGGATAATCTTCCCATAAAAGCTAAACGGGAAGCGTGCTCAGAGCCTTCTTGGTGATGTTTGCATTCAACTCACAGAGTTGTACTTTCCTTTCGACAGAGCAGCTTTGAAACCCTCTCTTTCTAGAATCTGCAAGTGGACATTTGGAGGGCTTCGAGGCCTGTGGTGGAAAAGGAACTATCTACTCATAAAAGCTAGATGGAAGCATTCTCAGAAACTACTTTGTGATGATTGCTTTCAGGTCACAGCAGTTGAACATTCCCTTTGATAGAGCCGTTTGGAGACACACTTTTGGTTCAATCGGCAAGGGGAGATTTGGACCGCTTTGAGGCCTATGGCAGTAGAGGAAATCACTGCCCATAAAAACTAGACAGCAGCATTCTCAGGAAACACTTTGTGACGATTGAGTTCAACCCACAGAGCTGAACATTGTTTTGGATGGAGCAGTTTCGAAACACACTTTTTGTAGAATCTGCAAGTGGGTGTTTGGGCTTCTCTGAGGATTTCGTTGGAAACGGGATAAACCTCACAGAACTAAACAGAAGCATTCTCAGAAACTTCTTCGTGATGTTGGCATTCAACTCACGGGGGTGAACATTCCCTTGTGAGTTCAAGTTGAATCACTCTTTTCGTAGTATCTGCAAGTGGAGATTTGGAACGCTTTGAGGCCTGCGGTAGTAAAGGAAATAGCTTCTTGTAAAAACTGGACAGAAGCATTCTCAGAAAATACTTTGGGATGATTGAGTTGAACTCACAGAGCGGAACATTTCTTTGGATGGAGCAGTTTTGAAACACACTTTTTGTAGAATCTCCAAGTGGACAGTTGGACCTCCCTGAGGATTTCGTTGGAAACGGGATAACGTCACCTAACTGAACAGAAGCTTTCACAGAATCTTCTTTGTGACGTTTGCATTCAAAGTCCAGAGTTGAAACTTCTTTTGACAGTTCACGTTTGAAACACACTTTTTGTAGGATCTGCAAGTGGATATTGGGAGCACTTTGTGGCCTTCGTTCGAAATGGGTATATCTTCACATAAAATCCAGACAGAAGCTTTCTCAGAAACTTCTCTGTGATGATTGCATGCAACTCACAGAGTTGAACATTCCTTTGGATAGAGCAGTTTCGAAACTCTCTTTTTTCTGGAATCTGCACATGGATAGGTGGAACTCTGTGAAGATTTCCTTGGAAACGGGAATATCTTCACTTAAAGAGTAAACGGATGCCTTCTCAGAAACTTCTTTGTGAGGCATATGTTCAACTCCCAGACTTTAACCTTGCTTTTCACAGAGCAGTTTTGAAACATTCTTTTCGTAGAGTCTCCAAGTGGACGTTTGGAGCGCTTTCAGGCCTGTGGTGGAAAAGGAAATATCTTCACCTCAAAACTAGAGAGAAGCATTGTCAGAAACGACTTTGTGATGATGGCATTCAACTCACGGAGTTGAAGGTTCCTTTTGATACAGCAGTTTGGAAACACTCTTTCAGTGGGACCTGCAAGCGGATATTTGGACCTCTTTGGAGATTTCGATGGAAAAGGGATAATCTCCCCATAAAAGCTAAACGGAAGCGTGCTCAGATCCTTCTTGGTGATGTTTGCATTCAACTCACAGAGTTGTACTTTCCTTTCGATAGAGCAGCTTTGAAACCCTCTCTTTCTAGAATCTGCAAGTGGACATTTAGAGGGCTTCGAGGCCTGTGTTGGAAAAGGAAATATCTACTCATAAAAGCTAGATGGAAGCATTCTCAGAAACTACTTTGTGATGATTGTTTTCAGGTCACAGAGTTGAACATTCCCTTTGATAGAGCTGTTTGGAAACACACTTTTGGCAGAATCGGCAAGGGGAGATTTGGACCGATTTGAGGCCTATGGCAGTAGAGGAAATCACTGCCCATAAAAACTAGACAGCAGCATTCTCAGGAAACACTTTGTGACGATTGAGTTCAACTCACAGAGCTGAACATTGTTTTGGATGGAGCAGTTTCGAAACACACTTTTTGTAGAATCTGCAAGTGGGTGTTTGGACTTCTCTGAGGATTTCCTTGGAAACGGGATAAACCTCACAGAACTAAACAGAAGCATTCTCAGAAACTTCTTCGTGATGTTGGCATTCAACTCACGGGGTTGAACATTCCCTTGTGAGTTCAAGTTGAAACACTCTTTTCGTAGTATCTGCAAGTGGAGATTTGGAACGCTTTGAGGCCTACGGTAGTAAAGGAAATAGCTTCGTGTAAAAACTGAACACAAGCATTCGCAGAAAATACTTTGGGATGATTGAGTTGAACTCACAGAGCGGAACATTCCTTTGGATGGAGCAGTTTTGAAACACACTTTTTGTAGAATCTGCAAGTGGACAGTTGGACCTCCCTGAGGATTTCGTTGGAAACGGGATAACGTCACCTAACTAAACAGAAGCTTTCGCAGAAACTTCTTTGTGACGTTTGCATTCAAAGTCCAGATTTGACACTTCCTTTGACAGTTCACGGTTGAAACACTCTTTTTGTAGGATCTGCAAGTGGATATTGGGAGCACTTTGTGGCCTTCGTTCGAAATGGGTATATCTTCACATAAAATCCAGACAGAAGCCTTCTCAGAAACTTCTCTGTGATGATTGCATGCAACTCACAGAGTTGAACATTCCTTTGGGTAGAGCAGTTTCGAAACTCTCTTTTTTCTGGAATCTGCACATGGATAGGTGGAACTCTGTGAAGATTTCCTTGGAAACGGGAATATCTTCACTTAAAGAGTAAACGGATGCCTTCTCAGAAACTTCTTTCTGAGACCTGTGTTCAACTCCCAGACTTCAACCTTGCTTTTCATAGAGCAGTTTTGAAACATTCTTTTCGTAGAGTCTCCAAGTGGACGTTTGGAGCGCTTTCAGGCCTGTGGTGGAAAAGGAAATATCTTCACCTCAAAACCAGAGAGAAGCATTGTCAGAAACGTCTTTGTGATGATGGCATTCAACTCACGGAGTTGAAGGTTCCTTTTGATACAGCAGTTTGGAAACACTCTTTCAGTGGGACCTGCAAGCGGATATTTGGACCTCTTTGGAGATTTCGATGGAAAAGGGATAATCTTCCCATAAAAGCTAAACGGAAGCGTGCTCAGAGCCTTCTTGGTGATGTTTGCATTCAACTCACAGAGTTGTACTTTCCTTTCGACAGAGCAGCTTTGAAACCCTCTCTTTCTAGAATCTGCAAGTGGACATTTGGTGGGCTTCGAGGCCTGTGGTGGAAAAGGAACTATCTACTCATAAAAGCTAGATGGAAGCATTCTCAGAAACTACTTTGTGATGATTGCTTTCAGGTCACAGAGTTGAACATTCCCTTTGATAGAGCCGTTTGGAAACACACTT
Organism: Homo sapiens; assembly: GCF_000001405.40. Lineage (NCBI taxonomy): Eukaryota > Metazoa > Chordata > Mammalia > Primates > Hominidae > Homo > Homo sapiens. Next base: position 124,819,799 of record NC_000001.11, read on the forward strand.
TTGGTAGAATCGGCAAGGGGAGATTTGGACCGCTTTGAGGCCTATGGCAGTAGAGGAAATCACTGCCCATAAAAACTAGACAGCAGCATTCTCAGGAAACACTTTGTGACGATTGAGTTCAACCCACAGAGCTGAACATTGTTTTGGATGGAGCAGTTTCGAAACACACTTTTTGTAGAATCTGCAAGTGGGTGTTTGGATTTCTCTGTGGATTTCGTTGGAAACGGGATAAACCTCACAGAACTAAACAGAAGCATTCTCAGAAACTTCTTCGTGATGTTGGCATTCAACTCACGGGGTTGAACATTCCCTTGTGAGTCCAAGTTGAAACACTCTTTTCGTAATATCTGCAATTGGAGATTTGGAACGCTTTGAGGCCTACGGTAGTAAAGGAAATAGCTTCGTGTGAAAACTGGACAGAAGCATTCTCAGAAAATACTTTGGGATGATTGAGTTGAACTCACAGAGCGGAACATTCCTTTGGATGGAGCAGTTTTGAAACACACTTTTTGTAGAATCTGCTATTGGACAGTTGGACCTCCCCGAGGATTTCGTTGGAAACGGGCTAACGTCACCTAACTAAACAGAAGCTTTCGCAGAAACTTGTTTGTGACGTTCGCATTCAAAGTCCAGAGTTGAACCTTCCTTTGATAGTTCATCTTTGAAACACTCTTTTTGTAGGATCTGCAAGTGGATATTGGGAGCACTTTGTGGCCTTCGTTCGAAATCGGTATATCTTCACATAAAATCCAGACAGAAGGCTTCTCAGAAACTTCTCTGTGATGATTGCATGCAACTCACAGAGTTGAACATTCCTTTGGATAGAGCAGTTTCGAAACTCTCTTTTTTCTAGAATCTGCACATGGATAGGTGGAACTCTGTGAAGATTTCCTTGGAAACGGGAATATCTTCACTTAAAGAGTAAACAGATGCCTTCTCAGAAACTTCTTTGTGAGGCATGTGTTCAACTCCCAGAATTTAACCTTGCTTTTCATACAGCAGTTTTGAAACATTCTTTTCGTAGTGTCTCCAAGTGGACGTTTGGAGCGCTTTCAGGCCTGTGGTGGAAAAGGAAATATCTTCACCTAAAAACTAGAGAGAAGCATTGTCAGAAACGTCTTTATGATTATGGCATTCAACTCACGGAGCTGAAGGTTCCTTTTGATACAGCAGTTTGGAAACACTCTTTGAGTGGGATCTGCAAGCGGATATTTGGACCTCTTTGGAGATTTCGATGGAAAAGGGATAATCTTCCCATAAAAGCTAAACGGAAGTATGCTCAGAGCCTTCTTTGTGATGTTTGCATTCAACTCACGGAGTTGTACTTTCCTTTAGATAGAGCAGCTATGAAACCCTCTATTTCTAGAATCTGCAAGTGGACATTTGGAGGGCTTCGAGGCCTGTGGTGGAAAAGGAAATATCTACTCATAAAGGCTAGATGGAAGCATTCTCAGAAACTACTTTGTGATGATTACTTCCAGGTCATAGAGTTGAACATTCCCTTTGATAGAGCCGTTTGGAAACACACTTTTGGTAGAATCGGTAAGGGGAGATTTGGACCGCTTTGAGGCCTATGGCAGTAGAGGAAATCACTGCCCATAAAAAATAGACAGCAGCATTCTCAGCAAACACTTTGTGACGATTGAGTTCAACCCACAGAGCTGAACATTGTTTTGGATGGAGCAGTTTCGAAACACACTTTTTGTAGAATCTGCGAGTGGGTGTTTGGACTTCTCTGAGGATTTCGTTGGAAACCGGATAAACCTCACAGAACTAAACAGAAGCGTTCTCAGAAACTTCTTCGTGATGTTGGCATTCAACTCACGGGGTTGAACATTCCCTTGTGAGTTCAAGTTGAAACACTCTTCTCGTAGTATCTGCAAGTGGAGATTTGGAACGCTTTGAGGCCTACGGTAGTAAAGGAAATAGCTTCGTGTAAAAACTGGACAGAAGCATTCGCAGAAAATACTTTGGGATGATTGAGTTGAACTCACAGAGCGGAACATTCCTTTGGATGGAGCAGTTTTGAAACACACTTTTTGTAGAATCTGCAAGTGGACAGTTGGACCTCCCTGAGGATTTCGTTGGAAACGGGATAACGTCACCTAACTAAACAGAAGCTTTCACAGAATCTTCTTTGTGACGTTTGCATTCAAAGTCCAGAGTTGAAACTTCTTTTGACAGTTCACGTTTGAAACACACTTTTTGTAGGATCTGCAAGTGGATATTGGGAGCACTTTGTGGCCTTCGTTCGAAATGGGTATATCTTCACATAAAATCCAGACAGAAGCCTTCTCAGAAACTTCTCTGTGATGATTGCATGCAACTCACAGAGTTGAACATTCCTTTGGATAGAGCAGTTTCGAAACTCTCTTTTTTCTGGAATCTGCACATGGATAGGTGGAACTCTGTGAAGATTTCCTTGGAAACGGGAATATCTTCACTTAAAGAGTAAACGGATGCCTTCTCAGAAACTTCTTTGAGAGGCATATGTTCAACTCCCAGACTTTAACCTTGCTTTTCACAGAGCAGTTTTGAAACATTCTTTTCGTAGAGTCTCCAAGTGGACGTTTGGAGCGCTTTCAGGCCTGTGGTGGAAAAGGAAATATCTTCACCTCAAAACTAGAGAGAAGCATTGTCAGAAAAGTCTTTGTGATTATGGCATTCAACTCACGGAGTTCAAGGTTCCTTTTGATACAGCAGTTTGGAAACACTCTTTCAGTGGGACCTGCAAGCGGATATTTGGACCTGTTTGGAGATTTCGATGGAAAAGGGATAATCTTCCCATAAAAGCTAAACGGAAGCGTGCTCAGAGCCTTCTTGGTGATGTTTGCATTCAACTCACAGAGTTGTACTTTCCTTTCGACAGAGCAGCTTTGAAACCCTCTCTTTCTAGAATCTGCAAGTGGACATTTGGTGGGCTTCGAGGCCTGTGGTGGAAAAGGAACTATCTACTCATAAAAGCTAGATGGAAGCATTCTCAGAAACTACTTTGTGATGATTGCTTTCAGGTCACAGAGTTGAACATTCCCTTTGATAGAGCCGTTTGGAAACACACTTTTGGTAGAATCGGCAAGGGGAGATTTGGACCGCTTTGAGGCCTATGGCAGTAGAGGAAATCACTGCCACATAAAAACTAGACAGCAGCATTCTCAGGAAACACTTTGTGACGATTGAGTTCAACCCACAGAGCTGAACATTGTTTTGGATGGAGAGGATTCGAAACACACTTTTTGTAGAATCTGCAAGTGGGTGTTTGGACTTCTCTGAGGATTTCGTTGGAAACGGGAGAAACCTCACAGAACTAAACCGAAGTATTCTCAGAAACTTCTTCGTGATGTTGGCATTCAACTCACGGGGTTGAACATTCCCTTGTGAGTTCAAGTTGAAACACTCTTTTAGTAGTATCTGCAAGTGGAGATTTGGAATGCTTTGAGGCCTACGGTAGTAAAGGAAATAGCTTCGTGTAAAAACTGGACAGAAGCATTCTCAGAGAATACTTTGGGATGATTGAGTTGAACTCACAGAGCGGAACATTCCTTTGGATGGAGCAGTTTTGAAACACACTTTTTGTAGAATCTGCAAGTGGACAGTTGCACCTCCTTGAGGATTTCGTTGGAAACGGGATAACGTCACCTAACTAAACAGAAGCTTTCGCAGAAACTTCTTTGTGACGTTTGCATTCAAAGTCCGGAGTTGAATCTTCCTTTGATAGTTCACGTTTGAAACACTCTTCTTGTGGGATCTGCAAGTGGATATTGGGAGCACTTTGTGGCCTTTGTTCGAAATGGGTATATCTTCACATAAAATCCAGACAGAAGCCTTCTCAGAAACTTCTCTGTGATGATGGCGTGCAACTCACAGAGTTGAACATTCCTTTGTATAGAGCAGTTTCGAAACTCTCTTTTTTCTGGAATCTGCACGTGGATAGGTGGAACTCTGTGAAGGTTTCCTTGGAAACGGGTATATCTTCACTTAAAGAGTAAACAGATGCCTTCTCAGAAACTTCTTTGTGAGGCATATGTTCAACTCCCAGACTTTAACCTTGCTTTTCACAGAGCAGTTTTGAAACATTCTTTTCGTAGAGTCTCCAAGTGGACGTTTGGAGCGCTTTCAGGCCTGTGGTGGAAAAGGAAATATCTTCACCTCAAAACTAGAGAGAAGCATTGTCAGAAACGTCTTTGTGATGATGGCATTCAACTCACGGAGTTGAAGGTTCCTTTTGATACAGCAGTTTGGAAACACTCTTTCAGTGGGACCTGCAAGCGGATATTTGGACCTCTTTGGAGATTTCGATGGAAAAGGGATAATCTTCCCATAAAAGCTAAACGGAAAGCGTGCTCAGAGCCTTCTTGGTGATGTTTGCATTCAACTCACAGAGTTGTACTTTCCTTTCGACAGAGCAGCTTTGAAACCCTCTCTTTCTAGAACCTGCAAGTGGACATTTGGAGGGCTTCGAGGCCTGTGGTGGAAAAGGAACTATCTACTCATAAAAGCTAGATGGAAGCATTCTCAGAAACTACTTTGTGATGATTGCTTTCAGGTCACAGAGTTGAACATTCCCTTTGATAGAGCCGTTTGGAAACACACTTTTGGTAGAATCGGCAAGGGGAGATTTGGACCGCTTTGAGGCCTATGGCAGTAGAGGAAATCACTGCCCATAAAAACTAGACAGCAGCATTCTCAGGAAACACTTTGTGACGATTGAGTTCAACCCACAGAGCTGAACATTGTTTTGGATGGAGCAGTTTCGAAACACACTTTTTGTAGAATCTGCAAGTGGGTGTTTGGACTTCTCTGAGGATTTCCTTGGAAACGGGATAAACCTCACAGAACTAAACAGAAGCATTCTCAGAAACTTCTTCGTGATGTTGGCATTCAACTCACGGGGTTGAACATTCCCTTGTGAGTTCAAGTTGAAACACTCTTCTCGTAGTATCTGCAAGTGGAGATTTGGAACGCTTTGAGGCCTACGGTAGTAAAGGAAATAGCTTCGTGTAAAAACTGGACAGAAGCATTCGCAGAAAATACTTTGGGATGATTGAGTTGAACTCACAGAGTGGAACATTCCTTTGGATGGAGCAGTTTTGAAACACACTTTTTGTAGAATCTGCAAGTGGACAGTTGGACCTCCCTGAGGATTTCTTTGGAAACGGGATAACGTCACCTAACTAAACAGAAGCTTTCGCAGAAACTTCTTTGTGACGTTTGCATTCAAAGTCCAGAGTTGAACCTTCCCTTGATAGTTCACGTTGGAAACACTCTTTTTGTAGGATCTGCAAGTGGATATTGGGAGCACTTTGTGGCCTTCGTTCGAAATGGGTATATCTTCACATAAAATCCAGACAGAAGCCTTCTCAGAAACTTCTCTGTGATGATTGCATGCGACTCACAGAGTTGAACATTCCTTTGGATAGAGCAGTTTCGAAACTCTCTTTTTTCTGGAATCTGCACATGGATAGGTGGAACTCTGTGAAGATTTCCTTGGAAACGGGAATATCTTCACTTAAAGAGTAAACGGATGCCTTCTCAGAAACTTCTTTGTGAGGCATGTGTTCAACTCCCAGAATTTAACCTTGCTTTTCATAGGGCAGTTTTGAAACATTCTTTTCGTAGAGTCTCCAAGTGGACGTTTGGAGCGCTTTCAGGCCTGTGGTGGAAAAGGAAATATACTTCACCTCAAAACTAGAGAGAAGCATTGTCAGAAAAGTCTTTGTGATTATGGCATTCAACTCACGGAGTTCAAGGTTCCTTTTGATACAGCAGTTTGGAAACACTCTTTCAGTGGGACCTGCAAGCGGATATTTGGACCTCTTTGGAGATTTCGATGGAAAAGGGATAATCTTCCCATAAAAGCTAAACGGAAGCGTGCTCAGAGCCTTCTTGGTGATGTTTGCATTCAACTCACAGAGTTGTACTTTCCTTTCGACAGAGCAGCTTTGAAACCCTCTCTTTCTAGAACCTGCAAGTGGACATTTGGAGGGCTTCGAGGCCTGTGGTGGAAAAGGAACTATCTACTCATAAAAGCTAGATGGAAGCATTCTCAGAAACTACTTTGTGATGATTGCTTTCAGGTCACAGAGTTGAACATTCCCTTTGATAGAGCTGTTTGGAGACACACTTTTGGTAGAATCGGCAAGGGGAGATTTGGACCGCTTTGAGGCCTATGGCAGTAGAGGAAATCACTGCCCATAAAAACTAGACAGCAGCATTCTCCGGAAACACTTTGTGACGATTGAGTTCAACCCACAGAGCTGAACATTGTTTTGGATGGAGCAGTTTCGAAACACACTTTTTATAGGATCTGCACGTGGGTGTTTGGACTTCTCTGAGGATATCGTTGGAAACGGGATAAACCTCACAGAACTAAACAGAAGTATTCTCAGAAACTTCTTCGTGATGTTGGCATTCAACTCACGGGGTTGAACATTCCCTTGTGATTTCACGTTGAAACACTCTTTTCGTAGTATCTGCAAGTGGAGATTTGGAACGCTTTGAGGCCTACGGTAGTAAAGGAAATAGCTTCGTGTAAAAACTGCACAGAAGCATTCGCAGAAAATACTTTGGGATGATTGAATTGAACTCACAGAGCGGAACATTCTTTTGGATGGAGCAGTTTTGAAACACACTTTTTGTAGAATCTGCAAGTGGACCGTTGGACCTCCCTGAGGATTTCTTTGGAAACGGGATAACGTCACCTAACTAAACAGAAGCTTTCGCAGAAACTTCTTTGGGACGTTTGCATTCAAAGTCCAGAGTTGAACCTTCCTTCGATAGCTCACGTTTGAAACACTCTTTTTGTAGGATCTGCAGGTGGATATTTGGAGCACTTTGTGGCCTTCGTTCGAAACGGGTATATCTTCACATAAAATCCAGACAGAAGCCTTCTCAGAAACTTCTCTGTGATGATTGCATGCAACTCACAGAGTTGAACATTCCTTTGGATAGAGAAGTTTCGAAACTCTCTTTTTTCTAGAATCTGCACATGGATAGGTGGAACTCTGTGAAGATTTCCCTTGGAAACGGGAATATCTTCACTTAAAGAGTAAACAGATGCCTTCTCAGAAACTTCTTTGTGAGGCATGTGTTCAACTCCCAGAGTTTAACCTTGCTTTTCATAGAACAGTTTTGAAACATTCTTTTCGTAGAGTCTCCAAGTGGACATTTGGAGCGCTTTCAGGCCTGTGGTGGAAAAGGAAATATCTTCACATAAAAACTAGAGAGAAGCATTGTCAGAAACGTCTTTGTGATGATGGCATTCAACTCACGGAGTTGAAGGTTCCTTTTGATATAGCAGTTTGGAAACACTCTTTCAGTGGGACCTGCAAGCGGATATTTGGACCTCTTTGGAGATTTCGATGGAAAAGGGATAATCTTCCCATAAAAGCTAAACGGAAGCGTGCTCAGAGCCTTCTTGGTGATGTTTGCATTCTACTCACAGAGTTGTAATTTCCTTTCGATAGAGCAGCTTTGAAACCCTCCCTTTCTAGAATCTGCAAGTGGACACTTGGAGGGCTTCGAGGCCTGTGCTGGAAAAGGAAATATGTACTCATAAAACCTAGATGGAAGCATTCTCAGAAACTACTTTGTGATGACTGCTTTCAGGTCACAGAGTTGAGCATTCCCTTTGATAGAGCCGTTTGGAGACACACTTTTGGTAGAATCGGCAAGGGGAGATTTGGACCGCTTTGAGGCCTATGGCAGTAGAGGAAAGCACTGCCCATAAAAACTAGACAGCAGCATTCTCAGGAAAAACTTTGTGACGATTGAGTTCAACCCACAGAACTGAACATTGTTTTGGATGGAGCAGTTTCGAAACACACTTTTTGTAGAATCTGCGAGTGGGTGTTTGGACTTCTCTGAGGATTTCGTTGGAAACGGGATAAACCTCACAGAACTAAACAGAAGCATTCTCAGAAACTTCTTCGTGATGTTGGCATTCAACTCACGGGGTTGAACATTCCCTTGTGAGTCCAAGTTGAAACACTCTTTTCGTAATATCTGCAATTGGAGATTTGGAACGCTTTGAGGCCTACGGTAGTAAAGGAAATAGCTTCGTGTGAAAACTGGACAGAAGCATTCTCAGAAAATACTTTGGGATGATTGAGTTGAACTCACAGAGCGGAACATTCCTTTGGATGGAGCAGTTTTGAAACACACTTTTTGTAGAATCTGCTATTGGACAGTTGGACCTCCCCGAGGATTTCGTTGGAAACGGGCTAACGTCACCTAACTAAACAGAAGCTTTCGCAGAAACTTCTTTGTGACGTTTGCATTCAAAGTCCAGAGTTGAACCTTCCCTTGATAGTTCACGTTGGAAACACTCTTTTTGTAGGATCTGCAAGTGGATATTGGGAGCACTTTGTGGCCTTCGTTCGAAATGGGTATATCTTCACATAAAATCCAGACAGAAGCCTTCTCAGAAACTTCTCTGTGATGATTGCATGCAACTCACAGAGTTGAACACTCCTTTGGATAGAGCAGTTTCGAAACTCTCTTTTTTCTGGAATCTGCACATGGATAGGTGGAAATCTGTGAAGATTTCCTTGGAAACGGGAATATCTTCACTTAAAGAGTAAACGGATGCCTTCTCAGAAACTTCTTTGTGAGGCATGTGTTCAACTCCCAGACTTTAACCTTGCTTTTCATAGAGTAGTTTTGAAACATTCTTTTCGTAGAGTCTCCAAGTGGACGTTTGGAGTGCTTTCAGGCCTGTGGTGGAAAAGGAAATATCTTCACCTCAAAACCAGAGGGAAGCATTGTCAGAAACGTCTTTGTGATGATGGCATTCAACTCACGGAGTTGAAGGTTCCTTTTGATACAGCAGTTTGGAAACACTCTTTCAGTGGGACCTGCAAGCGGATATTTGGACCTCCTTGGAGATTTCGATGGAAAAGGGATAATCTTCCCATAAAAGCTAAACGGAAGCGTGCTCAGAGCCTTCTTGGTGATGTTTGCATTCTACTCACAGAGTTGTAATTTCCTTTCGATAGAGCAGCTTTGAAACCCTCTCTTTCTAGAATCTGCAAGTGGACATTTGGAGGGCTTCGAGGCCTGTGGTGGAAAAGGAAATATCTACTCATAAAACCTAGACGGAAGCATTCTCAGAAACTACTTTGTGATGATTACTTTCAGGTCACAGAGTTGAACATTCCCTTTGATAGAGCCGTTTGGAGACACACTTTTGGTAGAATCGGCAAGGGGAGATTTGGACCGCTTTGAGGCCTATGGCAGTAGAGGAAATCACTGCCCATAAAAACTAGACAGCAGCAGTCTCAGGAAACACTTTGTGACGATTGAGTTCAACCCACAGAGCTGAACATTGTTTTGGATGGAGCAGTTTCGAAACACACTTTTTGTAGAATCTACAAGTGGGTGTTTGGACTTCTCTGAGGATTTCCTTGGAAATGGGATAAACCTCACAGAACTAAACAGAAGCATTCTCAGAAACTTCTTCGTGATGTTGGCATTCAGCTCACGGGGTTGAACATTCCCTTGTGAGTTCAAGTTGAAACACTCTTCTCGTAGTATCTGCAAGTGGAGATTTGGAACGCTTTGAGGCCTACGGTAGTAAAGGAAATAGCTTCGTGTAAAAACTGGACAGAAGCATTCGCAGAAAATACTTTGGGATGATTGAGTTGAACTCACAGAGCGGAACATTCCTTTGGATGGAGCAGTTTTGAAACACACTTTTTGTAGAATCTGCAAGTGGACAGTTGGACCTCCCTGAGGATTTCGTTGGAAACGGGATAACGTCACCTAACTAAACAGAAGCTTTCGCAGAAACTTCTTTGTGACGTTTGCATTCAAAGTCCAGAGTTGAACCTTCCCTTGATAGTTCACGTTGGAAACACTCTTTTTGTAGGATCTGCAAGTGGATATTGGGAGCACTTTGTGGCCTTCGTTCGAAATGGGTATATCTTCACATAAAATCCAGACAGAAGCCTTCTCAGAAACTTCTCTGTGATGATTGCATGCAACTCACAGAGTTGAACATTCCTTTGGATAGAGCAGTTTCGAAACTCTCTTTTTTCTGGAATCTGCACATGGATAGGTGGAACTCTGTGAAGATTTCCTTGGAAACGGGAATATCTTCACTTAAAGAGTAAACGGATGCCTTCTCAGAAACTTCTTTGTGAGGCATATGTTCAACTCCCAGACTTTAACCTTGCTTTTCACAGAGCAGTTTTGAAACATTCTTTTCGTAGAGTCTCCAAGTGGACGTTTGGAGCGCTTTCAGGCCTGTGGTGGAAAAGGAAATATCTTCACCTCAAAACTAGAGAGAAGCATTGTCAGAAACGTCTTTGTGATGATGGCATTCAACTCACGGAGGTGAAGGTTCCTTTTGATACAGCAGTTCGGAAACACTCTTTCAGTGGGACCTGCAAGCGGATATTTGGGGCTCTTTGGAGATTTCGATGGAAAAGGGATAATCTTCCCATAAAAGCTAAACGGAAGCGTGCTCAGAGCCTTCTTGGTGATGTTTGCATTCAACTCACAGAGTTGTAATTTCCTTTCGATAGAGCAGCTTTGAAACCCTCTCTTTCTAGAATCTGCAAGTGGACATTTGGAGGGCTTCGAGGCCTGTGGTGGAAAAGGAAATATCTACTCATAAAACCTAGACGGAAGCATTCTCAGAAACTTCTTTGTGATGATTGCTTTCAGGTCACAGAGTTGAACATTCTCTTTGATAGAGCCGTTTGGAAACACACTTTTGGTAGAATCGGCAAGGGGAGATTTGGACCGCTTTGAGGCCTATGGCAGTAGAAGAAATCACTGCCCATAAAAACTAGACAGCAGCATTCTCAGGAAACACTTTGTGACGATTGAGTTCAACCCACAGAGCTGAACATTGTTTTGGATGGAGCAGTTTCGAAACACACTTTTTGTAGAATCTGCAAGTGGGTGTTTGGACTTCTCTGAGGATTTCCTTGGAAACGGGATAAACCTCACAGAACTAAACAGAAGCGTTCTCAGAAACTTCTTCGTGATGTTGGCATTCAACTCACGGGGTTGAACATTCCCTTGTGAGTTCAAGTTGAAACACTCTTTTCGTAGTATCTGCAAGTGGAGATTTGGAACGCTTTGAGGCCTACGGTAGTAAAGGAAATAGCTTCGTGTAAAAACTGGACAGAAGCATTCTCAGAAAATACTTTGGGATGATTGAGTTGAACTCACAGAGCGGAACATTCCTTTGGATGGAGCACTTTTGAAACACACTTTTTGTAGAATCTGCAAGTGGACAGTTGGACCTCCCTGAGGATTTCATTGGAAACGGGATAACGTCACCTAACTAAACAGAAGCTTTCGCAGAAACTTCTTTGTGACGTTTGCATTCAAAGTCCAGAGTTGAACCTTCCCTTGATAGTTCACGTTTGAAACACTCTTTTTGTAGGAACTGCAAGTGGATATTGGGAGCACTTTGTGGCCTTCGTTCGAAATGGGTATATCTTCACATAAAATCCAGACAGAAGCCTTCTCAGAAACTTCTCTGTGATGATTGCATGCAACTCACAGAGTTGAACATTCCTTTGCATAGAGCAGTTTCGAAACTCTCTTTTTTCTGGAATCTGCATATGGATAGGTGGAACTCTGTGAAGATTTCCTTGGAAACGGGAATATCTTCACTTAAAGAGTAAACGGATGCTTTCTCAGAAACTTCTTTGTGAGGCATGTGTTCAACTCCCAGACTTTAACCTTGCTTTTCATAGAGCAGTTTTGAAACATTCTTTTCGTAGAATCTCCAAGTGGACGTTTGGAGCGCTTTCAGGCCTGTGGTGGAAAAGGAAATATCTTCACCTCAAAACTAGAGAGAAGCATTGTCAGAAACGTCTTTGTGATGATGGCATTCAACTCACGGAGTTGAAGGTTCCTTTTGATACAGCAGTTCGGAAACACTCTTTCAGTGGGACCTGCAAGCGGATATTTGGGGCTCTTTGGAGATTTCGATGGAAAAGGGATAATCTTCCCATAAAAGCTAAACGGAAGCGTGCTCAGAGCCTTCTTGGTGATGTTTGCATTCTACTCACAGAGTTCTAATTTCCTTTCGATAGAGCAGCTTTGAAACCCTCTCTTTCTAGAATCTGTAAGTGGACATTTGGAGGGCTTCGAGGCCTGTGGTGGAAAAGGAAATATCTACTCATAAAACCTAGATGGAAGCATTCTCAGAAACTACTTTGTGATGATTGCTTTCAGGTCACAGAGTTGAACATTCCCTTTGATAGAGCCGTTTGGAGACACACTTTTGGTTCAATCGGCAAGGGGAGATTTGGACCGCTTTGAGGCCTATGGCAGTAGAGGAAATCACTGCCCATAAAAACTAGACAGCAGCATTCTCAGGAAACACTTTGTGACGATTGAGTTCAACCCACAGAGCTGAACATTGTTTTGGATGGAGCAGTTTCGAAACACACTTTTTGTAGAATCTGCAAGTGGGTGTTTGGACTTCTCTGAGGATTTCCTTGGAAACGGGATAAACCTCACAGAACTAAACAGAAGCGTTCTCAGAAACTTCTTCGTGATGTTGGCATTCAACTCACGGGGTTGAACATTCCCTTGTGAGTTCAAGTTGAAACACTCTTCTCGTAGTATCTGCAAGTGGAGATTTGGAACGCTTTGAGGCCTACGGTAGTAAAGGAAATAGCTTCGTGTAAAAACTGGACAGAAGCATTCGCAGAAAATACTTTGGGATGATTGAGTTGAACTCACAGAGTGGAACATTCCTTTGGATGGAGCAGTTTTGAAACACACTTTTTGTAGAATCTGCAAGTGGACAGTTGGACCTCCCTGAGGATTTCTTTGGAAACGGGATAACGTCACCTAACTAAACAGAAGCTTTCGCAGAAACTTGTTTGTGACGTTCGCATTCAAAGTCCAGAGTTGAACCTTCCTTTGATAGTTCATCTTTGAAACACTCTTTTTGTAGGATCTGCAAGTGGATATTGGGAGCACTTTGTGGCCTTCGTTCGAAATCGGTATATCTTCACATAAAATCCAGACAGAAGCCTTCTCAGAAACTTCTCTGTGATGATTGCATGCAACTCACAGAGTTGAACATTCCTTTGGATAGAGCAGTTTCGAAACTCTCTTTTTTCTGGAATCTGCACATGGATAGGTGGAACTCTGTGAAGATTTCCTTGGAAACGGGAATATCTTCACTTAAAGAGTAAACGGATGTCTTCTCAGAAACTTCTTTGTGAGGCATATGTTCAACTCCCAGACTTTAACCTTGCTTTTCACAGAGCAGTTTTGAAACATTCTTTTCGTAGAGTCTCCAAGTGGACGTTTGGAGCGCTTTCAGGCCTGTGGTGGAAAAGGAAATATCTTCACCTCAAAACTAGAGAGAAGCATTGTCAGAAACGTCTTTGTGATTATGGCATTCAACTCACGGAGTTCAAGGTTCCTTTTGATACAGCAGTTTGGAAACACTCTTTCAGTGGGACCTGCAAGCGGATATTTGGACCTCTTTGGAGATTTCGATGGAAAAGGGATAATCTTCCCATAAAAGCTAAACGGAAGTATGCTCAGAGCCTTCTTTGTGATGTTTGCATTCAACTCACAGAGTTGTACTTTCCTTTAGATAGAGCAGCTATGAAACCCTCTATTTCTAGAATCTGCAAGTGGACATTTGGAGGGCTTCGAGGCCTGTGGTGGAAAAGGAAATATCTACTCATAAAGGCTAGATGGAAGCATTCTCAGAAACTACTTTGTGATGATTCCTTTCAGGTCACAGAGTTGAACATTCCCTTTGATAGAGCCGTTTGGAGACACACTTTTGGTAGAATCGGCAATGGGAGATTTGGACCGCTTTGAGGCCTATGGCAGTAGAGGAAATCACTGCCCATAAAAACTAGACAGCAGCATTCTCAGGAAACACTTTGTGACGATTGAGTTCAACCCACAGAGCTGAACATTGTTTTGGATGGAGAAGTTTCGAAACACACTTTTTGTAGAATCTGCAAGTGGGTGTTTGGACTTCTCTGAGGATTTCCTTGGAAACGGGATAAACCTCACAGAACTAAACAGAAGCGTTCTCAGAAACTTCTTCGTGATGTTGGCATTCAACTCACGGGGTTGAACATTCCCTTGTGAGTTCAAGTTGAAACACTCTTCTCGTAGTATCTGCAAGTGGAGATTTGGAACGCTTTGAGGCCTACGGTAGTAAAGGAAATAGCTTCGTGTAAAAACTGGACAGAAGCATTCGCAGAAAATACTTTGGGATGATTGAGTTGAACTCACAGAGTGGAACATTCCTTTGGATGGAGCAGTTTTGAAACACACTTTTTGTAGAATCTGCAAGTGGACAGTTGGACCTCCCTGAGGATTTCTTTGGAAACGGGATAACGTCACCTAACTAAACAGAAGCTTTTGCAGAATCTTCTTTGGGACGTTTGCATTCAAAGTCCAGAGTTGAAACTTCCTTTGACAGTTCACGTTTGAAACACTCTTTTTGTAGGATCTGCAAGTGGATATTGGGAGCACTTTGTGGCCTTCGTTCGAAATGGGTATATCTTCACATAAAATCCAGACAGAAGCCTTCTCAGAAACTTCTCTGTGATGATTGCATGCAACTCACAGAGTTGAACATTCCTTTGGATAGAGCAGTTTCGAAACTCTCTTTTTTCTGGAATCTGCACATGGATAGGTGGAACTCTGTGAAGATTTCCTTGGAAACGGGAATATCTTCACTTAAAGAGTAAACGGATGCCTTCTCAGAAACTTCTTTGTGAGGCATGTGTTCAACTCCCAGACTTTAACCTTGCTTTTCATAGAGCAGTTTTGAAACATTCTTTTCGTAGAGTCTCCAAGTGGACGTTTGGAGCGCTTTCAGGCCTGTGGTGGAAAAGGAAATATCTTCACCTCAAAACTAGAGAGAAGCATTGTCAGAAACGTATTTGTGATTATGGCATTCAACTCACGGAGTTGAAGGTTCCTTTTGATACAGCAGTTTGTAAACACTCTTTCAGTGGGACCTGCAAGCGGATATTTGGACCTCTTTGGAGATTTTGATGGAAAAGGGATAATCTTCCCATAAAAGCTAAACGGAAGCCGTGCTCAGAGCCTTCTTGGTGATGTTTGCATTCAACTCACAGAGTTGTACTTTCCTTTCGACAGAGCAGCTTTGAAACCCTCTCTTTCTAGAATCTGCAAGTGGACATTTGGTGGGCTTCGAGGCCTGTGGTGGAAAAGGAACTATCTACTCATAAAAGCTAGATGGAAGCATTCTCAGAAACTACTTTGTGATGATTGCTTTCAGGTCACAGAGTTGAACATTCCCTTTGATAGAGCCGTTTGGAAACACACTTTTGGTAGAATCGGCAAGGGGAGATTTGGACCGCTTTGAGGCCTATGGCAGTAGAGGAAATCACTGCCCATAAAAACTAGACAGCAGCATTCTCAGGAAACACTTTGTGACGATTGAGTTCAACCCACAGAGCTGAACATTGTTTTGGATGGAGAAGTTTCGAAACACACTTTTTGTAGAATCTGCAAGTGGGTGTTTGGATTTCTCTGTGGATTTCGTTGGAAACGGGATAAACCTCACAGAACTAAACAGAAGCATTCTCAGAAACTTCTTCGTGATGTTGGCATTCAACTCACGTGGTTGAACATTCCCTTGTGAGTTCAAGTTGAAACACTCTTTTCGTAGTATCTGCAAGTGGAGATTTGGAACGCTTTGAGGCCTACGGTAGTAAAGGAAATAGCTTCGTGTAAAAACTGGACAGAAGCATTCGCAGAAAATACTTTGGGATGATTGAGTTGAACTCACAGACTGGAACATTCCTTTGGATGGAGCAGTTTTGAAACACACTTTTTGTAGAATCTGCAAGTGGACAGTTGGACCTTCCTGAGGATTTCGTTGGAAACGGGATAACGTCACCTAACTAAACAGAAGCTTTCACAGAATCTTCTTTGTGACGTTTGCATTCAAAGTCGAGAGTTGAAACTTCTTTTGACAGTTCACGTTTGAAACACACTTTTTGTAGGATCTGCAAGTGGATATTGGGAGCACTTTGTGGCCTTCGTTCGAAATGGGTATATCTTCACATAAAATCCAGACAGAAGCCTTCTCAGAAACTTCTCTGTGATGATTGCATGCAACTCACAGAGTTGAACACTCCTTTGGATAGAGCAGTTTCGAAACTCTCTTTTTTCTGGAATCTGCACATGGATAGGTGGAAATCTGTGAAGATTTCCTTGGAAACGGGAATATCTTCACTTAAAGAGTAAACGGATGCCTTCTCAGAAACTTCTTTGTGAGGCATGTGTTCAACTCCCAGACTTTAACCTTGCTTTTCATAGAGCAGTTTTGAAACATTCTTTTCGTAGAGTCTCCAAGTGGACGTTTGGAGCGCTTTCAGGCCTGTGGTGGAAAAGGAAATATCTTCACCTCAAAACTAGAGAGAAGCATTGTCAGAAACGTCTTTGTGATGATGGCATTCAACTCACGGAGTTGAAGGTTCCTTTTGATACAGCAGTTCGGAAACACTCTTTCAGTGGGACCTGCAAGCGGATATTTGGGGCTCTTTGGAGATTTCGATGGAAAAGGGATAATCTTCCCATAAAAGCTAAACGGAAGCGTGCTCAGAGCCTTCTTGGTGATGTTTGCATTCAACTCACAGAGTTGTACTTTCCTTTCGATAGAGCAGCTTTGAAACCCTCTCTTTCTAGAATCTGCAAGTGGACATTTGGAGGGCTTCGAGGCCTGTGGTGGAAAAGGAAATATCTACTCATAAAACCTAGACGGAAGCATTCTCAGAAACTACTTTGTGATGATTTTTTTCAGGTCACATAGTTGAACATTCCCTTTGATAGAGCCGTTTGGAAACACACTTTTGGTAGAATCGGCAAGGGGAGATTTGGACCGCTTTGAGGTCTATGGCAGTAGAGGAAATCACTGCCCATAAAAACTAGACAGCAGCATTCTCAGGAAACACTTTGTGACGATTGAGTTCAACCCACAGAGCTGAACATTGTTTTGGATGGAGCAGTTTCGAAACACACTTTTTGTAGAATCTGCCAGTGGGTGTTTGGATTTCTCTGTGGATTTCGTTGGAAAGGGGAAAACCTCACAGAACTAAACAGAAGCATTCTCAGAAACTTCTTCGTGATGTTGGCATTCAACTCACGGGTTTGAACATTCCCTTGTGAGTTCAAGTTGAAACACTCTTTTCGTAGTATCTGCAAGTGGAGATTTGGAACGCTTTGAGGCCTACGGTAGTAAAGGAAATAGCTTCGTGTAAAAACTGGACAGAAGCATTCGCAGAAAATACTTTGGGATGATTGAGTTGAACTCACAGAGCGGAACATTCCTTTGGATGGAGCAGTTTTGAAACACACTTTTTGTAGAATCTGCAAGTGGACAGTTGGACCTCCCTGAGGATTTCTTTGGAAACGGGATAACGTCACCTAACTAAACAGAAGCTTTCGCAGAAACTTCTTTGTGACGTTTGCATTCAAAGTCCAGAGTTGAACCTTCCCTTGATAGTTCACGTTGGAAACACTCTTTTTGTAGGATCTGCAAGTGGATATTGGGAGCACTTTGTGGCCTTCGTTCGAAATGGGTATATCTTCACATAAAATCCAGACAGAAGCCTTCTCAGAAACTTCTCTGTGATGATTGCGTGCAACTCACAGAGTTGAACATTCCTTTGGATAGAGCAGTTTCGAAACTCTCTTTTTTCTAGAATCTGCACATGGATAGGTGGAACTCTGTGAAGATTTCCTTAGAAACGGGAATATCTTCACTTAAAGAGTAAACAGATGCCTTCTCTGAAACTTCTTTTTGAGGCATTTGTTCAACTCCCAGAATTTAACCTTGCTTTTCTTAGGGCAGTTTTGAAACATTCTTTTCGTAGAGTATCCAAGTGGACGTTTGGAGCGCTTTCAGGCCTGTGGTGGAAAAGGAAATATCTTCAGCTAAAAACTAGAGAGAAGCATTGTCAGAAACGTCTTTGTGATGATGGCATTCAACTCACGGAGTTGAAGGTTCCTTTTGATACAGCAGTTTGGGAACACTCTTTCAGTGGGACCTGCAAGCGGTTATTTGGACCTCTTTGGAGATTTTGATGGAAAAGAGATAATCTTCCCATAAAAGCTAAACGGAAGCGTGATCAGAGCCTTCTTGGTGATGTTTGCATTCTACTCACAGAGTTGTACTTTCCTTTCGATAGAGCAGCTTTGAAACCCTCTCTTTCTAGAATCTGCAAGTGGACATTTGGAGGGCTTCGAGGCCTGTGGTGGAAAAGGAAATATCTACTCATAAAACCTAGATGGAAGCATTCTCAGAAACTACTTTGTGATGATTTTTTTCAGGTCACATAGTTGAACATTCCCTTTGATAGAGCCGTTTGGAAACACACTTTTGGTAGAATCGGCAAGGGGAGATTTGGACCGCTTTGAGGTCTATGGCAGTAGAGGAAATCACTGCCCATAAAAACTAGACAGCAGCATTCTCCGGAAACACTTTGTGACGATTGAGTTCAACCCACAGAGCTGAACATTGTTTTGGATGGAGCAGTTTCGAAACACACTTTTTATAGGATCTGCAAGTGGGTGTTTGGACTTCTCTGAGGATATCGTTGGAAACGGGATAAACCTCACAGAACTAAACAGAAGCGTTCTCAGAAACTTCTTCGTGATGTTGGCATTCAACTCACGGGGTTGAACATTCCCTTGTGAGTTCAAGTTGAAACACTCTTTTCGTAGTATCTGCAAGTGGAGATTTGGAACGCTTTGAGGCCTACGGTAGTAAAGGAAATAGCTTCGTGTAAAAACTGGACAGAAGCATTCGCAGAAAATACTTTGGGATGATTGAGTTGAACTCACAGAGCGGAACATTCCTTTGGATGGAGCAGTTTTGAAACACACTTTTTGTAGAATCTGCAAGTGGACAGTTGGACCTCCCTGAGGATTTCTTTGGAAACGGGATAACGTCACCTAACTAAACAGAAGCTTTCGCAGAAACTTCTTTGTGACGTTTGCATTCAAAGTCCAGAGTTGAACCTTCCCTTGATAGTTCACGTTGGAAACACTCTTTTTGTAGGATCTGCAAGTGGATATTGGGAGCACTTTGTGGCCTTCGTTCGAAATGGGTATATCTTCACATAAAATCCAGACAGAAGCCTTCTCAGAAACTTCTCTGTGATGATTGCGTGCAACTCACAGAGTTGAACATTCCTTTGGATAGAGCAGTTTCGAAACTCTCTTTTTTCTAGAATCTGCACATGGATAGGTGGAACTCTGTGAAGATTTCCTTAGAAACGGGAATATCTTCACTTAAAGAGTAAACAGATGCCTTCTCAGAAACTTCTTTGTGAGGCATGTGTTCAACTCCCAGACTTCAACCTTGCTTTTCATAGAGCAGTTTTGAAACATTCTTTTCGTAGGCTCTCCAATTGGACGTTTGGAGGGCTTTCAGGCTTGTGGTGGAAAAGGAAATATCTTCACCTCAAAACCAGAGAGAAGCATTGTCAGAAACTTCTTCTTTGTGATGACTGCATTCATCTCACGGAGTGGAAGGCTCCTTTTGATACAGCCGCTTGGAAACACTCTATCAGAGGGACCTGCAAGCGGATACTTGGAGCTCTTGGAAGATTTCGATGGAAAAGGGATAATCTTCCCATAAAAGCTAAATGGAAGCATGCTCAGAGACTTCTTTGTGATGTTTGCATTCAACTCCCAGTGTTGTACTTTCCTTTTGATAGAGCAGCTTTGAAACCCTCTCTCTCTAGAATCTGCAAGTGGACATTGGGAGGGCTTCGAGGCCTGTGGTAGAAAAGGAAATATCTACTCATAAAAGATAGATGGAAGCATTCTCAGAAACTACTTTGTGATGATTGCTTTCAGGTCACAGAGTTGAACATTCCCTTTGATAGAGCCGTTTGGAAACACACTTTTGGTAGAATCGGCAAGGGGAGATTTGGACCGCTTTGAGGCCTATGGCAGTAGAGGAAATCACTGCCCATAAAAACTAGACAGCAGCATTCTCAGGAAACACTTTGTGACGATTGAGTTCAACCCACAGAGCTGAACATTGTTTTGGATGGAGCAGTTTCGAAACACACTTTTTGTAGAATCTGCAAGTGGGTGTTTGGACTTCTCTGAGGATTTCCTTGGAAACGGGATAAACCTCACAGAACTAAACAGAAGCATTCTCAGAAACTTCTTCGTGATGTTGGCATTCAACTCACGGGGTTGAACATTCCCTTGTGAGTTCAAGTTGAAACACTCTTTTCGTAGTATCTGAAAATGGAGAATCGCAACGCTTTGAGGCCTACGGTAGTAACGGAAATAGCTTCGTGTAAAAACTGGACAGAAGCATTCGCAGAAAATACTTTGGGATGATTGAGTTCAACTCACAGAGCGGAACATTCCTTTGGATGGAGCCGTTTTGAAACACACTTTTTGTAGAATCTGCAGGTGGATATTTGGAGCTCTCTGAGGATTTCGTTGGAAACGGGAATAATTTCCCATAACTAAACACAAGCTTTCGCAGAAACTTCTTTGTGACGTTTGCATTCAAAGTCCGGAGTTGAATCTTCCTTTGATAGTTCACGTTTGAAACACTCTTCTTGTGGGATCTGCAAGTGGATATTGGGAGCACTTTGTGGCCTTCGTTCGAAATGGGTATATCTTCACATAAAATCCAGACAGAAGCCTTCTCAGAAACTTCTCTGTGATGATGGCGTGCAACTCACAGAGTTGAACATTCCTTTGTATAGAGCAGTTTTGAAACTCTCTTTTTTCTGGAATCTGCACGTGGATAGGTGGAACTCTGTGAAGGTTTCCTTGGAAACGGGTATATCTTCACTTAAAGAGTAAACAGATGCCTTCTCAGAAACTTCTTTGTGAGGCATGTGTTCAACTCCCAGACTTTAACCTTGCTTTTCATAGAGCAGTTTTGAAACATTCTTTTCGTAGAGTCTCCAAGTGGACGTTTGGAGCGCTTTCAGGCCTGTGGTGGAAAAGGAAATATCTTCACCTCAAAACTAGAGAGAAGCATTGTCAGAAACGTCTTTGTGATTATGGCATTCAACTCACGGAGTTCAAGGTTCCTTTTGATACAGCAGTTTGGAAACACTCTTTCAGTGGGACCTGCAAGCGGATATTTGGACCTCTTTGGAGATTTCGATGGAAAAGGGATAATCTTCCCATAAAAGCTAAACGGAAGCGTGCTCAGAGCCTTCTTGGTGATGTTTGCATTCAACTCACAGAGTTGTACTTTCCTTTCAACAGAGCAGCTTTGAAACCCTCTCTTTCTAGAATCTGCAAGTGGACATTTGGTGGGCTTCGAGGCCTGTGGTGGAAAAGGAACTATCTACTCATAAAAGCTAGATGGAAGCATTCTCAGAAACTACTTTGTGATGATTGTTTTCAGGTCACAGAGTTGAACATTCCCTTTGATAGAGCCGTTTGGAAACACACTTTTGGTAGAATCGGCAAGGGGAGATTTGGACCGCTTTGAGGCCTATGGCAGTATAGGAAATCACTGCCCATAAAAACTAGACAGCAGCATTCTCAGGAAACACTTTGTGACGATTGAGTTCAACCCACAGAGCTGAATATTGTTTTGGATGGAGCAGTTTCGAAACACACTTTTTGTAGAATCTGCCAGTGGGTGTTTGGATTTCTCTGTGGATTTCGTTGGAAACGGGATAAACCTCACAGAACTAAACAGAAGCATTCTCAGAAACTTCTTCGTGATGTTGGCATTCAACTCACGTGGTTGAACATTCCCTTGTGAGTTCAAGTTGAAACACTCCTTTCGTAGTATCTGCAAGTGGAGATATGGAACGCTTTGAGGCCTACGGTAGTAAAGGAAATAGCTTCTTTTAAAAACTGGACAGAAGCATTCGCAGAAAATACTTTGGGATGATTGAGTTGAACTCACAGAGCGGAACATTCCTTTGGATGGAGCAGTTTTGAAACACACTTTTTGTAGAATCTGCAAGTGGACAGTTGGACCTCCCTGAGGATTTCTTTGGAAACGGGATAACGTCACCTAACTAAACAGAAGCTTTCGCAGAAACTTCTTTGTGACGTTTGCATTCAAAGTCCAGAGTTGAACCTTCCCTTGATAGTTCACGTTTGAAACACTCTTTTTGTAGGATCTGCAAGTGGATATTGGGAGCACTTTGTGGCCTTCGTTCGAAATGGGTATATCTTCACATAAAATCCAGACAGAAGCCTTCTCAGAAACTTCTCTGTGATGATTGCATGCAACTCACAGAGTTGAACATTCCTTTGGATAGAGCAGTTTCGAAACTCTCTTTTTTCTGGAATCTGCACATGGATAGGTGGAACTCTGTGAAGATTTCCTTGGAAACGGGAATATCTTCACTTAAAGAGTAAACGGATGCCTTCTCAGAAACTTCTTTGTGAGGCATGTGTTCAACTCCCAGACTTCAACCTTGCTTTTCATAGAGCAGTTTTGAAACATTCTTTTCGTAGAGTCTCCAAGTGGACGTTTGGAGCGCTTTCAGGCCTGTGGTGGAAAAGGAAATATCTTCACCTCAAAACCAGAGAGAAGCATTGTCAGAAACGTATTTGTGATTATGGCATTCAACTCACGGAGTTCAAGGTTCCTTTTGATACAGCAGTTTGGAAACACTCTTTCAGTGGGACCTGCAAGCGGATATTTGAACCTCTTTGGAGATTTCGATGGAAAAGGGATAATCTTCCCATAAAAGCTAAACGGAAGCGTGCTCAGAGCCTTCTTGGTGATGTTTGCATTCAACTCACAGAGTTGTACTTTCCTTTCGACAGAGCAGCTTTGAAACCCTCTCTTTCTAGAATCTGCAAGTGGACATTTGGAGGGCTTCGAGGCCTGTGGTGGAAAAGGAACTATCTACTCATTAAAGCTAGATGGAAGCGTTCTCAGAAACTACTTTGTGATGAGTGCTTTCAGGTCACAGAGTTGAACATTCCCTTTGATAGAGCCGTTTGGAAACACACTTTTGGTAGAATCGGCAAGGGGAGATTTGGACCGCTTTGAGGCCTATGGCAGTAGAGGAAATCACTGCCCATAAAAACTAGACAGCAGCATTCTCAGGAAACACTTTGTGACGATTGAGTTCAACCCACAGAGCTGAACATTGTTTTGGATGGAGCAGTTTCGAAACACACTTTTTGTAGAATCTGCAAGTGGGTGTTTGGACTTCTCTGAGGATTTTGTTGGAAACGGGATAAACCTCACAGAACTAAACAGAAGCATTCTCAGAAACTTCTTCGTGAGGTTGGCATTCAACTCACGGGGTTGAACATTCCCTTGTGAGTTCAAGTTGAAACACTCTTTTCGTAGTATCTGCAAGTGGAGATTTGGAACGCTTTGAGACCTACGGTAGTAAAGGAAATAGCTTCGTGTAAAAACTGGACAGAAGCATTCGCAGAAAATACTTTGGGATGATTGAGTTGAACTCACAGAGCGGAACATTCCTTTGGATGGAGCAGTTTTGAAACACACTTTTTGTAGAATCTGCAAGTGGACAGTTGGACCTCCCTGAGGATTTCGTTGGAAACGGGATAACGTCACCTAACTAAACAGAAGCTTTCGCAGAAACTTCTTTGTGACGTTTGCATTCAAAGTCCAGAGTTGAACCTTCCCTTGATAGTTCACGTTGGAAACACTCTTTTTGTAGGATCTGCAAGTGGATATTGGGAGCACTTTGTGGCCTTCGTTCGAAATGGGTATATCTTCACATAAAATCCAGACAGAAGCCTTCTCAGCAACTTCTCTGTGATGACTGCGTGCAACTCACAGAGTTGAACATTCCTTTGGATAGAGCAGTTTCGAATCTCTCTTTTTTCTAGAATCTGCACATGGATAGGTGGAACTCGGTGAAGATTTCCTTGGAAACGGGAATATCTTCACTTAAAGAGTAAGCAGATGCCTTCTCAGAAACTTCTTTGTGAGGCATGTGTTCAACTCCCAGACTTTAACCTTGCTTTTCATAGAGCAGTTTTGAAACATTCTTTTCGTAGAGTCTCCAAGTGGACGTTAGGAGCGCTTTCAGGCCTGTGGTGGAAAAGGAAATATCTTCACCTCAAAACTAGAGAGAAGCATTGTCAGAAACGTCTTTGTGATGATGGCATTCAACTCACGGAGTTGAAGGTTCCTTTTGATACAGCAGTTCGGAAACACTCTTTCAGTGGGACCTGCAAGCGGATATTTGGGGCTCTTTGGAGATTTCGATGGAAAAGGGATAATCTTCCCATAAAAGCTAAACGGAAGCGTGCTCAGAGCCTTCTTGGTGATGTTTGCATTCAACTCACAGAGTTGTACTTTCCTTTCGACAGAGCAGCTTTGAAACCCTCTCTTTCTAGAATCTGCAAGTGGACATTTGGAGGGCTTCGAGGCCTGTGGTGGAAAAGGAACTATCTACTCATAAAAGCTAGATGGAAGCATTCTCAGAAACTACTTTGTGATGATTGCTTTCAGGTCACAGAGTTGAACATTCCCTTTGATAGAGCCGTTTGGAGACACACTTTTGGTTCAATCGGCAAGGGGAGATTTGGACCGCTTTGAGGCCTATGGCAGTAGAGGAAATCACTGCCCATAAAAACTAGACAGCAGCATTCTCAGGAAACACTTTGTGACGATTGAGTTCAACCCACAGAGCTGAACATTGTTTTGGATGGAGCAGTTTCGAAACACACTTTTTGTAAAATCTGCCAGTGGGTGTTTGGATTTCTCTGTGGATTTCGTTGGAAACGGGATAAACCTCACAGAACTAAACAGAAGCATTCTCAGAAACTTCTTCGTGATGTTGGCATTCAACTCACGGTGTTGAACATTCCCTTGTGAGTTCAAGTTGAAACACTCTTTTCGTAGTATCTGCAAGTGGAGATTTGGAACGCTTTGAGGCCTACTGTAGTAAAGGAAATAGCTTCGTGTAAAAACTGGACAGAAGCATTCGCAGAAAATACTTTGGGATGATTGAGTTGAACTCACAGAGCGGAACATTCTTTTGGATGGAGCAGTTTTGAAACACACTTTTTGTAGAATCTGCAAGTGGACCGTTGGACCTCCCTGAGGATTTCTTTGGAAACGGGATAACGTCACCTAACTAAACAGAAGCTTTCGCAGAAACTTCTTTGTGACGTTTGCATTCAAAGTCCAGAGTTGAACCTTCCCTTGATAGTTCACGTTTGAAACACTCTTTTTGTAGGATCTGCAAGTGGATATTGGGAGCACTTTGTGGCCTTCGTTCGAAATGGGTATATCTTCACATAAAATCCAGACAGAAGCCTTCTCAGAAACTTATCTGTGATGATTGCATGCAACTCACAGAGTTGAACATTCCTTTGCATAGAGCAGTTTCGAAACTCTCTTTTTTCTGGAATCTGCACATGGATAGGTGGAACTCTGTGAAGATTTCCTTGGAAACGGGAATATCTTCACTTAAAGAGTAAACGGATGCCTTCTCAGAAACTTCTTTGTGAGGCATGTGTTCAACTCCCAGACTTTAACCTTGCTTTTCATAGAGCAGTTTTGAAACATTCTTTTCGTAGAGTCTCCAAGTGGACGTTTGGAGCGCTTTCAGGCCTGTGGTGGAAAAGGAAATATCTTCACCTCAAAACTAGAGAGAAGCATTGTCAGAAACGTCTTTGTGATGATGGCATTCAACTCACGGAGTTGAAGGTTCCTTTTGATACAGCAGTTTGGAAACACTCTTTCAGTGGGACCTGCAAGCGGATATTTGGGGCTCTTTGGAGATTTCGATGGAAAAGGGATAATCTTCCCATAAAAGCTAAACGGAAGCGTGCTCAGAGCCTTCTTGGTGATGTTTGCATTCAACTCACAGAGTTGTACTTTCCTTTCGACAGAGCAGCTTTGAAACCCTCTCTTTCTAGAATCTGCAAGTGGACATTTGGAGGGCTTCGAGGCCTGTGGTGGAAAAGGAACTATCTACTCATAAAAGCTAGATGGAAGCATTCTCAGAAACTACTTTGTGATGATTACTTTCAGGTCACAGAGTTGAACATTCCCTTTGATAGAGCCGTTTGGAGACACACTTTTGGTAGAATCGGCAAGGGGAGATTTGGACCGCTTTGAGGCCTATGGCAGTAGAGGAAATCACTGCCCATAAAAACTAGACAGCAGCATTCTCAGGAAACACTTTGTGACGATTGAGTTCAACTCACAGAGCTGAACATTGTTTTGGATGGAGCAGTTTCGAAACACACTTTTTGTAGAATCTGCAAGTGGGTGTTTGGACTTCTCTGAGGATTTCCTTGGAAACGGGATAAACCTCACAGAACTAAACAGAAGCGTTCTCAGAAACTTCTTCGTGATGTTGGCATTCAACTCACGGGGTTGAACATTCCCTTGTGAGTTCAAGTTGAAACACTCTTTTCGTAGTATCTGCAAGTGGAGATTTGGAACGCTTTGAGGCCTACGGTAGTAAAGGAAATAGCTTCGTGTAAAAACTGGACAGAAGCATTCGCAGAAAATACTTTGGGATGATTGAGTTGAACTCACAGAGTGGAACATTCCTTTGGATGGAGCAGTTTTGAAACACACTTTTTGTAGAATCTGCAAGTGGACAGTTGTACCTCCCTGAGGATTTCTTTGGAAACGGGATAACGTCACCTAACTAAACAGAAGCTTTCGCAGAAACTTCTTTGTGACGTTTGCATTCAAAGTCCAGAGTTGAACCTTCCCTTGATAGTTCACGTTGGAAACACTCTTTTTGTAGGATCTGCAAGTGGATATTGGGAGCACTTTGTGGCCTTCGTTCGAAATGGGTATATCTTCACATAAAATCCAGACAGAAGCCTTCTCAGAAACTTCTCTGTGATGATTGAATGCAACTCACAGAGTTGAACATTCCTTTGGATAGAGCAGTTTCGAAACTCTCTTTTTTCTGGAATCTGCACATGGATAGGTGGAACTCTGTGAAGATTTCCTTGGAAACGGGAATATCTTCACTTAAAGAGTAAACGGATGCCTTCTCAGAAACTTCTTTGTGAGGCATGTGTTCAACTCCCAGACTTTAACCTTGCTTTTCATAGAGCAGTTTTGAAACATTCTTTTCGTAGAGTCTCCAAGTGGACGTTTGGAGCGCTTTCAGGCCTGTGGTGGAAAAGGAAATATCTTCACCTCAAAACTAGAGAGAAGCATTGTCAGAAACGTCTTTGTGATGATGGCATTCAACTCACGGAGTTGAAGGTTCCTTTTGATACAGCAGTTTGGAAACACTCTTTCAGTGGGACCTGCAAGCGGATATTTGGACCTCTTTGGAGATTTCGATGGAAAAGGGATAATCTTCCCATAAAAGCTAAACGGAAGCGTGCTCAGAGCCTTCTTGGTGATGTTTGCATTCAACTCACAGAGTTGTACTTTCCTTTCGACAGAGCAGCTTTGAAACCCTCTCTTTCTAGAATCTGCAAGTGGACATTTGGAGGGCTTCGAGGCCTGTGGTGGAAAAGGAACTATCTACTCATAAAAGCTAGATGGAAGCGTTCTCAGAAACTACTTTGTGATGAGTGCTTTCAGGTCACAGAGTTGAACATTCCCTTTGATAGAGCCGTTTGGAAACACACTTTTGGTAGAATCGGCAAGGGGAGATTTGGACCGCTTTGAGGCCTATGGCAGTAGAGGAAATCACTGCCCATAAAAACTAGACAGCAGCATTCTCAGGAAACACTTTGTGACGATTGAGTTCAACCCACAGAGCTGAACATTGTTTTGGATGGAGCAGTTTCGAAACACACTTTTTGTAGAATCTGCAAGTGGGTGTTTGGACTTCTCTGAGGATTTTGTTGGAAACGGGATAAACCTCACAGAACTAAACAGAAGCATTCTCAGAAACTTCTTCGTGATGTTGGCATTCAACTCACGGGGTTGAACATTCCCTTGTGAGTTCAAGTTGAAACACTCTTTTCGTAGTATCTGCAAGTGGAGATTTGGAACGCTTTGAGGCCTACGGTAGTAAAGGAAATAGCTTCGTGTAAAAACTGAACACAAGCATTCGCAGTAAATACTTTGGGATGATTGAGTTGAACTCACAGAGCGGAACATTCCTTTGGATGGAGCAGTTTTGAAACACACTTTTTGTAGAATCTGCAAGTGGACAGTTGGACCTCCCTGAGGATTTCGTTGGAAACGGGATAACCGTCACCTAACTAAACAGAAGCTTTCGCAGAAACTTCTTTGTGACGTTTGCATTCAAAGTCCAGAGTTGAACCTTCCCTTGATAGTTCACGTTGGAAACACTCTTTTTGTAGGATCTGCAAGTGGATATTGGGAGCACTTTGTGGCCTTCGTTCGAAATGGGTATATCTTCACATAAAATCCAGACAGAAGCCTTCTCAGAAACTTCTCTGTGATGATTGCATGCAACTCACAGAGTTGAACATTCCTTTGGATAGAGCAGTTTCGAAACTCTCTTTTTTCTGGAATCTGCACATGGATAGGTGGAACTCTGTGAAGATTTCCTTGGAAACGGGAATATCTTCACTTAAAGAGTAAACGGATGCCTTCTCAGAAACTTCTTTGTGAGGCATGTGTTCAACTCCCAGACTTTAACCATGCTTTTCATAGAGCAGTTTTGAAACATTCTTTTCGTAGAGTCTCCAAGTGGACGTTTGGAGCGCTTTCAGGCCTGTGGTGGAAAAGGAAATATCTTCACCTCAAAACTAGAGAGAAGCATTGTCAGAAACGTCTTTGTGATGATGGCATTCAACTCACGGAGTTGAAGGTTCCTTTTGATACAGCAGTTCGGAAACACTCTTTCACTGGGACCTGCAAGCGGATATTTGGGGCTCTTTGGAGATTTCGATGGAAAAGGGATAATCTTCCCATAAAAGCTAAACGGAAGCATGCTCAGAGCCTTCTTGGTGATGTTTGCATTCAACTCACAGAGTTGTAATTTCCTTTCGATAGAGCAGCTTTGAAACCCTCTCTTTCTAGAATCTGCAAGTGGACATTTGGAGGGCTTCGAGGCCTGTGGTGGAAAAGGAAATATCTACTCATAAAACCTAGACGGAAGCATTCTCAGAAACTACTTTGTGATGATTGCTTTCAGGTCACAGAGTTGAACATTCCCTTTGATAGAGCCGTTTGGAGACACACTTTTGGTTCAATCGGCAAGGGGAGATTTGGTCCGCTTTGAGGCCTATGGCAGTAGAGGAAATCACTGCCCATAAAAACTAGACAGCAGCATTCTCAGGAAACACTTTGTGACGATTGAGTTCAACCCAGAGAGCTGAACATTGTTTTGGATGGAGCAGTTTCGAAACACACTTTTTGTAGAATCTGCAAGTGGGTGTTTGGGCTTCTCTGAGGATTTCGTTGGAAACGGGATAAACCTCACAGAACTAAACAGA